>NW_021160004.1:0-270122 GCF_000001405.40 Homo sapiens | reverse complement strand
TCACTGTGGGTACAGGGTATGGTACAACCATTTGGAAACCAATCTGGCAGTTTCTTAGAAAGTTGAATATTCACCCAGCACAGGGCCCAGCCATTCCACTCCTACATATTTACTCAAGAGGAAAAAAAATATGTTGATGCAAAGACTTGTGCATGAATATTCACAGAATCTTTTTTTTTTTTTTTGTAATAGCCAAAACCTGGATATGACTCAGGTGTTCATCAACAGATGAACAGATAAAAACAAGCTCTGGTCTAGCCAGGCAGGAGGGTATAGTTAGCAACAGGAAGGGGTGAGTTACTCATACAGAACAACAAACAAGGGTGAAGCTCAAGAGAATTTTCTGAATGAAGGAAGCCAGAGGAAAAAGAAGACTCACTGTATATTTCCATATATACAGTGAAACTCAGAAATGCGGTAGAAAGCAGGTCAGCAGTGGCTCATGGGGGCTGGGGAAAGGGAAGAGTGACAGGAAGGGTTACAAAGGGGCAGGAGGACACCGTCAGGGAGGGGACGTGCCCACTGTCCCCATCATGGTGACCGTTTCTGAGGACATGAGTGGACACAAGTTTCGCGTTTTAAAATGTATCAAACTGTACATTTTAGATATGTGCAGTTTATTGTATGTCAATAATACCTCAATAAAGCTGTTTATTTAATGAACAGAGACTATGAATGAATGGGGAAGAGGCTGAAAGTGATCGCTCCGATAAGAAGCCGTGCTGTCTTGCCCCATGTCCGTATCTGAGTTTATTTTCTGACCCAGAGCCTGTTGCTTGAAGACGCAGCCAAGGTCTGCAGAGGGAAGGCCCAGCAACACCACTGCCAGCATTTGCTGGAATGTTCTCGCAAAGGAACGTGGCATTTACTCACAGGGCTGAGCACTCTGGCACAGAGACCCCTCACATTGTAGGACCGATGGACACAGGCTCTGAGTTGACGCTGGCATCTAAAGACCTGGAGGGTGGCTGGGCACACTGGTTCATGCCTGTTATCACAGCACTTTGGGAGGCCAAGGAGGAATCGCTTGCACCCAGGAGATGAAGACCAGCCTGTGCATCACCACGCCTGGCTAATTTCTCTTAATTTTTCTTTTTTTGTAGAGAGACACCCTTTTGTAGAGAGACAAACAAAGAAAAATTAAGAGAAATTAGCCAGGCATGGTGGTGCACACCTGGGGTCCCAGGTGAGGCAGGAGGATCATTTGAGCCCAGGGGTTTGAGGCTGCAGTGAGCCATGATCATGCCACCGCACTCCAGCCTGGGCAACATAGCAAGACCTTGTCTCGCAAAACAAACAAACAAGACCTGAAACGTTATCATCGTCTTCTGTTAGAGAGGAGCCTCATGGGTCAAGAAGTGAATGGTGTCCCTGCCAAACTTAGAATGGGCCCTCAGGCAGGGTTCATGACCCCATCCAGTGGTCATTTTTACAGTCTCTGAATATTCCATTGGGATTGAGATATTTGGCAGTTACAGTAATCCCCATAAATACGTCCTTGGCCTGTGAGGTGAAAGCTACCATAAGTGAAGTGAGGAGGTCAAGTGTAGGTCACTGAAAGCATCCTCGGTCAAGATAATAAATCAGAAACACAATCGCATCTCGGCGAGGACAGTGGATGTTTGTATGCACCATCAAGATCTCTGGTGTGACGAATTATTTCTATGTGTTCACTTAACTGGGCCACAGGGTGCCCAGATTAAACCTTGATCCAGGCATGTCTGCGAGGTTGATTCTGGGTGAGATGAGTATTGGGATTGGTGGACTCAGGAAGGCAGATGCCCTCCCCAGCGTGGGGGCCTCCTCCCATCCAGTGTGAACCTGAATAGAACAGAAAGGCAGGGGAAGAAGAATCTGCCCTCTTTTTCTTGCGTCACTGCTTGAGCTGGGATGTCTTATCTCATCTCCTGCCCTCGGACTGCGATTTACTCCACCGGCTCTCCCGGGTCTCAGCTTGCAGACGGGACAGATCATGGGAGCCAATTGCTTTCATCTCTCTCTCTTGTGCGTGTGCGTGTGTGTGTGTGTGTCTGTGTGTTCATTCACTGGTCTGGTCCTTGTGGAAGGTGAATAGATGGGATAGATTCTGGAAAATGGACATGACTCCTGCAGGCTCAATGTGGCCCTGTCTCTGGTCACAACCGATGTGCTGGATGCGGTGTTTTTGCCAAAGCCTCAGGTGTGCAGTGTGTGACTATGATTTGTGGGTGTGTTGCAGGCTTGGCTGATGAAAGCTGTCAGCTCTAGTTCCCACTCCCATGGAATGGATGGTGTGGCTCTGTGCTCCTGGGACCTCTTCCATGATCTGTTAAAAGGTTGAAGAAATGAAAAGGTAACCTATGAAATGGGAGAAAATATTTGCAAACCATATATATGCTAGAGCTAATACCTAGCACATACAAAGAACCACTCAACAATGACAACTACAAAATAACCCAGTCCAAAAATCTGACAGAGGACTTGAAGAAGCTTTTCTCCAAAAAAGATATACAAATGGCCAATAAGCACATGAAAAGACGCCGAACATCAGTAATCATCAGGGAAATAGAACGAGATACTGCCTCTCACCCACTAGGATGGCCGCTAAGAAACCCCGAAAATAATAAGGCAAGGACGTGGCAATGTTGGAACCCCCGGGCACTGCTGGTGAGAGTGTAGAATGATGCAGCTGCGCTGGAGAACACTATGGTGGCTCCTCACAACATTAAAGATAGAATTCCCATACGACCCAGCAATCCCGCTTCTGATTCTATGCCCAAAAGAGACGAAAGCTGAGACACAAAGAGATGCTTGTCTACACATGTTCACAGCAGCATTATTCACAACAGCCAAAAGGTGAAGGTAACTCAAGTATCTATTGAGAGACAAATGAATATACAAAATGTGGTCCATCCATGCTGTGGAATATTATTCAGCCATGTTCAGGAAGGAAATTCTGACACAGGCGACGACGTGGGTGAACCTTGAGGACTTGATGCTCAGTGAGATAAGCCGGTTGCAAAAGGACAGATGTTGTCTAATTCCAGTTTTATGAGGTCCTTAGAGTAGAATTTGACCCTCATAGCTATGACTGAATGATGGTGGCCAAGGGCTGGGTGGGGGGACGCGGGAACTGTTGTGTAATGGAGACAGTTTCAGTAGGGGGCGCTGTCTTTCAGAAGCAAAGAGGCCTCGCTGGCTTTGTGCCTTCTCCTTTGTCACAGGGGAGACACATGCAGCGTGTGTCTTTGATTTACACATCCAAACGTGCCCCTCCCCATGCTTGGGAAGATGAGAAAGTTCTGGAGACGGATGGTGGCGATGGCACCAATATAAATGTATTTAATGCCACTGAACTATACACTTAAAATGGTTAAGATGGTAAACTTTGTGATTTGTATATTTTATCACAATTTCAAAAAAAAAGATAGAAGAGATCTAGACATCCTGACATCTGCAGTACAGCCCATTGAGTCAATGGATCATTAATTGAACATGAATGACTTAACAGGGAGCCAGCAGGATGAGTGGGGGTAGCGGACGCACTGGGGTCTTCCTTAGGATGTGCTCAGGAGGACGTGTGGTAAGCCCTGCAAAGATCCAGGGGCCAGACCTGCAGGAAAGTTCTCAGAGGCCCAGGTTCAGGGGCATGTTTGCACGTCGAAATAAAAGACACATGGCTGCACGTGTCTCCCCTGTGACAAAGGAGGCACAAAGCTGGCTAGGCCTCTTTGCTTTTCAAAGAAAGTGCCCCCTACTCCTGGAAATGTGGGGAGACAGTGTCGCCTACTCCCAGGAATGGAATAAACAGTGCACCCCACTCCATGGAACGTGGAGAGACAGCGGCCCCCACTCCTGGGAATGTGGAGAGTCAGTGGCCCCCACTCTTGGGGATGTGGAGACAGTGGCCCCCATTCTTGGGGATGTGGAGAGAAAGTGGACCCCACTCTTGGGGATGTGGAGAGTCAGCGGCCCCCACTCTTGGGAATGTGGGGAGTCAGTGGCCCCGATTCTTGAGAATGTGGGGAGTCAGTGGCCCCACTCCAGGGAATATTGCCCTGGGCCATACTCTGGGCAACAGGGAAGCTGCAGCTATGAGTGGGGCCTGTCTCGGAGGAGGCCCGACCACAGCCCAGTACCAGGGCTTGGGAAGCTGGAATGCCCATCTGGGGTGCAGCAGGAGCACCAGCTCAGAGACAAGTCTCAGCATGCACCAGGGAGCTTCATGCAGCCCTGTGTCCCCAACAGGAGACGTGCATATGATGCTGAGAACGGGGGTGGTTGTCGGGGTGGCCCCGCTTCCCATCATTCCCAGTGCTCCATGGGGACCTCCTGTTTCCTGTGTCCTTAATGCCTGGCTCTGCGGCATTGGAGGCCCCTGTGCCTGAAGGAGAACCCTGGCAAGGGTGCAGAGAGGGTGTCCTTGAACTTCAAGGTCTGTCTGCCACCTGGGCCCTTTGGATTCCTATGTCCAAGGACCAGCAAGAAGAGGAGATGGCACCTCGTTGGGGTCAACTGACCCTGGCCGGCAGGAGGAGGCAGGGCTGCGGCAGCCCAGTGTGGCCTGGGAGAGACACGGGCAGACTGCAGGGGACCCGTTCATGTGCCCCTTGTACTCCTTGGCTAGGTGGACCATGAATGGACAAGTAAAGTGGCCCTGGCCCAAGAAGGGCCTGTGCTGGGGCCAGACCATGCAGGTGAGAGGTGAGGGGAGTGCAGACTGGGTGGAGGAAGAGGGAGATGGTAAGTGCTGCTCACAGCCCCAGAGGAGCTCCAGTGAGCGGGGGCTGTGGTTTGTCCCAGGAGCCCTGTTCCCAGGGCCCTGTGAGCTGCTCTTGCATCATGTGTAGGGAAGTGGATGACGCAGCACAGGGGTGTCATGCAGAGCTGCATGGAGAAAGGGCTCCCTGCCCACTGCGAGGAGTGAAGACAACTGATGCTCGAGTGTCCAGAGCCTCCAGAATCCACCTCGGCTTTCGTGCCAACATCAGGCTGTTCTTGGGGTTCCCCTGGCCAAGGACTTAGCCAGGCAGCGGTACAAGGGCCCAGCCACTTCCACCCAAGGGACACTCTCCTGATGCCCGACCCTTGCTCCTGTGGTCCCTTAGCTTGGCAGAGCCCTTCGCAGGGGACACTGGGACTTGGGGGCTGCCTCTGCCCCATCCTGCAGCCATGTCTGTATTTTCATAGGTGTCCTCCCAGCGCACCTTGTGCTCATCCGACTCCATCTCAGCATCTTCTCCTCTGAGAACTCAGCTCGCAACAACCCAAATTTTGGCTTTTTAATCCTCCTCCTGACAGAGAAATGATAATCGTTTCTAACGAGGCCAGAGTCTTCATTCACTCACCAAATCCTGATTTAATGCAAGGTCAGGGGAGAAAAAGCTCTGCAGCGACCCGAGAAAACACAGCCCCAGGCAGCATGGACAGCAAGTGCAAAGGCCCTGGGGCATGACCTCATTGGGTACAGTCAGGGAACAGCAAGGGGAATAGGAAGGCTGGAGTTGGCTGAACAAATGTGCAACCAGGTGGCTAGAGGGATTCCAGGCCAGACCTGTGGGTCTTAGTCAGGCACTGCAAGCACTTAAAACTTTACTCTGAGCGAGGCAGGGCTGATGCAGGGCTCTGAGCAGAAGAGGGACGGGTCTGTCTTATGTTGTAACAAGATCATTCCACCCCCAGCCGCTGTGTGGAGAGTGGTTGGAAGGAGGCCAGGGCAAAAGCAGGAGGATCACTGAGGACATTGGTTTTGTAATCCAGGAGCCAAAATGGTGGCTTGGACTGGGGTGGGGGATGTGGAGTTCTGAGGGTGGTAGGATTCTGGGTGCCTCCAACAGATGCGAGGTTGGGGAGTCGGAGAAAGACGAGCCAAGCCTGGTGCCCAGACATCTGTGCAGGAATCAGATGCGGAGATGAGGTGGGAGCAGGAGGGAGGAGGGAAGCTGGCATTGGCCTGGTTCTGATGGAAAAACTTGTCAGACAAGAGTGAATGGGAACCTCAAGGTTGCACGCAACTATCTGGGTCTGCAATGGAGCCTGGGCACGAGAGTCGGCACAGAGGCAGTCCATGTGGTCATAAGCAGAGAGGTCACCAAGTCTGCGAATGTGGATGGAAAGGGACCAAGCCAGGCCCCGCAGCATGGAAAAGAGAGGAAGATGAGGACGCTGAGCAATGAAGCACAGACTAAAACGCCCAGATGGTGGGATACACCCAGGAGGGTCCTGCCGCCTGGGGCAAGGTGTAGGCAATAGCTCAAGGAGAGAAAGTGACCCAGGGAGGTGCCGGATGTGAACGATTATTCAGGTAAGGGGGTCCTGAGCCAGGACCTTGGGTGGAGTGCCTTGAGGGGGTCACTGCTGAGCTTGGGGTGTGTTAAGGAGAGGACAGGCTGGGGTCAAGTGGAGACACAGTGGAGGAATCGTCTGGGTGGCCCGTGTGTTTGCTGGTTTTCAGATGAAAGGAATATCCTTCATCAGGACGTTGGAAGGACCCTGAAAGGGGATCTTTTCCCGGATAGCTGCATGGCTCTTTCACTGTCCTCCTAATTTTGACTTTCAGATCATATCCTTTTGGGATTTGGTGAGTGAAGGAAGACTCCAAACTCACTAGCAACTGTTATCATTTCTTCCTTAGGGGAAGGTTTGGGCTGTTGCAGGTTGAGGTCTCCTAGAAGGAGAGGCTGAGGCAGAGTCAGGTTAACCCAGGAGAGGGGCCTGTGAGAACGTTCCTCCTGCCGCGATATCCTGAGCTGGGGCAGGAACCTGCTCTCCAATGGACGGGTGAACTTTGAAGGAGCATGGGGAGTTTCCACCCAACATTGAGGGAAAGGAGCGATTTCATGGGATAGGCACAGAGGTTGGTGGGCACAGCACGTGTTGGTGGGCATGGGGCAGGGCGTGATGTGCACCGAGACAACTGAAAGGCCAGGTCCCTAGTGGGACAGGATGGTGGAGGGGGCTGCTGGAAGTCAGAGACAAGAAGAAAGATAGAAAAGCCTCCAGGAGAGAGGGGTGTGAGTGGACATAATGGTGTGTGAAGGATGGAACAGAAAGAATGGAGTGTGGGGTACACAGTGTGAAGCATGGGGACATATGGGACATGGAGAATGGAGTAAGCAGAATAGACAGTGGGCATGAAGAATGGGGAAGAGAACATGGAGAATGGAGCACTGGCTATAAAGGATGGAGAATGGAGCATGGAACATTGAGAGTGAAGTGAGGAGAATGGGAAATGGAGTATAAAGAAAAGACTGAATGTGGAGGCAGAGTATACAAGATGAAGAATGGAGGATGGAGAATGAAGTCTGAAGAATGCTGTAGCAGCCTGGAACATGGAAGATGTATGGAAAATGGAGTGAGTATGGAGAATGGAGAGTGGAGAATGGATGATAGAGGTAGCAAATGGGGTTGAGAGGATGGAGCATGGAGAATGAAGAATGGAGCATGGAGAATGAAAAAGGGAGTAGAGATGGAGTTTGGTGTAAGGAGGATGGAGAATTGAGAATGGAGGGTGGAGCGTGAGGTAGGGTATGGTGGACAGAATGTGGAATGCATCGTAAGAGTGGGTCATGGAGCATGCTGTATGGGGAACAGTGATGCAGAGTGGGGAATAGAGAAAGAAGTGTGCAGTATGGAGAGGAGCACATGGAAAATGGAGCGTGCAGAATGGAGATTAGAGAACGGAGTACAGTCAGTCCCTGACTTACAATGGTTCAACTTACAATTTTTTTTTACAATGGTGTGAAAGTGATGTGCATTCAGTAGAAGCCATACTTCAAATCTGGAATTTTGACGTTTTCCCAGGCTAGTGACCTGAAGTAGAATATTGTCTCATGAAGCTGCTGGGCAACCGCGAGCCACAGCCCCCAGTCAGCCAGGCTAGTGTGAGTGCTCTGAGCATGTTCCAGACAGGCTGGGCTCAGCTATGATTTTCAGTAGATTAGGTGTATTAAATGCATTTTGGACTTAAACAATGTATTTCACGTATGATGTGTTTATCAAGACATAACTCTCATAACTCAGAAGCATCTGGATAGAATATGGACAGAAAAGTATGGAGAATGAACAAGGGAAACTGTAGCATCTAATAACAGAGTATGGAGAATGAAGAATGGAGTATGAAAAGGAGAGGAATGTGGAAAATGAGCGCAGAATATGGAGAATGGCGCGTCAAGAATGGAGTATGGAGTATGAAGTATGAAGAATAGAGTATGAACCATAGAGCATGGAGAACGGAAAACAAGGAATGAAGTACAGAATATGAAGGATGAAGTACTGAGTGTGGGGGATGGAGAATGGAAAATGATGTGTGGAAAATGGAAATTGGAGTTTGCGGGATGGAGTATAGAAAACGCAGAATGGTGATGGGGAATGCAATGTGGGGTATGGAGTATGGATTCTGGAGACCGTAGATGGATAATGAGAATGGAGGATAGAGAACGCACAGCCACACCTGGTTTTATCGTGCTTTGCAAATATTGTGTTTTTTACAAATTGAAGGTTTGTAGCAACCCTGAGTCCAGCAAGTCTATTGGTACCATTTTTTCCAGTAGTGTGTGCTCAGTTCGTGTCTCTGGGTCACATTTGGGAAATTCTTCAAATATTTCACACTTTATTATTTTAGCATTTATGGCAATCTGTGATCAGTGATCTTTGAGGTTACTATTATCATTGTTTTGGGGTGCTCTGAACCATGCCCATATAAGATGGGGAACTTAATTGATGTGCTGTTTGTGCTCTGACTGCTCTACCAACTGGCCATTCCCCCATCTCTCTCCCTCTCCTCAGGCCTCTCTATTCACTGAGGCACAACAGTATGGAAATTAGGCCAATTAATAAACCAGCAATGGCCTCTGAGTGTTCAAATGCAAAAAGAGTCTCATGTCTCTCACTTTAAATAAAAAACTAGACATGATTACGCTTACTGAGAAAGGCCTGTTGAAAGCCAAGATAGGTGAAAGCTAGGCCTTTTGCACCAATTAGTCACATTGTGGATGTAAAGGAAAAGTTCTTGAAGGGAATTAAAAATGCTACTCCAATGAACACACGAATAACAAAGAAGCAAAACAGTCTTTTGCTGATAGGGAGAAATTTTAGTGGTCTGCATAAAAGATCACACCCCCCATAACATTCCCTTAAGCCTTATTCAGAGCAAGGCCCTAACTCTCCTCAATTCTGTGAAGGGTGAGGAAGCTGCAGAAGAAAAGTTGGAAGATAGCAGAACTTAGATCATGAAGTTTAAGGGAGGAAGCCATCTCCATAACATAAAAGTACAAAGTGAAGCAGTAAGTGCTGATATAAGAGCTGCAGCAACTTATCCAGAAGATCTAGCTAAGATCATTGAGGGAGGTAACTACATTAAATAGCAGATTTTCAATGTAGATGAAATGGCCTTCTATGGGGAGGAGATCCCATCTAGGACTTTCATAGCTAGAGAGGAGAAGTCAATGCCTGGCTTCAAAGCTTCATATGAGAGGCTGACTGTTTTGTTATGGCTAATAGAGCTGGTGAAGCCAACATTCACAATTCCAAAAACTCTAGGGCCCTTAAGAATTTTTATGCTAAATCTACTCTGCTTGTGCTCTGTCAGTGGAACAACAAAGCCTGGATGACAGCACGTCTGTTTAGAGAATGATTTGCTCAATATTTGAGGTCCACTTTTGAGAACTACTGCTCAGAAAAAAATTCCTTTCAAAATTTTACTATACATTAAGAATGCACCTGGTCACTCAAGAGCTCTGATGGAGATGTACCAGGAGTCAGATGTTGTTTTCATGCCTGCTAACACAGCATCCATTCTGCAGCCCATGGATCAAAGAGTAATTTTGACTTTCAAATCATATTATTTAAGAAATATACTTTGTAAGGCTATCAGTCCCATAGACGGAGATTCCTCAGATGGATCTGAATCTGAGCAAAGTAAATTGAGAGGCTTCTGAAAAGGATTCACCATTCTAGATGGCATTAAGGACACTTGTGATTCATAGGAGGAGGTAAAAATAGCAACATTAGCAGGAGATTGGAAGGAGCCATTTCACTCATGGATGATTTTAAGGAGCTTAAGACTTCAGTGGATGAAGTAATTGCAGACATTATGGAAATGGCAAGAAAACTAGCAGTGGGGCCTAAAGACATGATGAAATCGCTGTAGCCTCATGATAAAATTTGATCAGATGAGGAGTTGTTTCTAGGGATGAGCAAAGATTGTGCTTTCTTGAGATGGAATCTACTCCTGCTAAAGAAGATGCAGTGAATATTGTTGAAATGACAACAAGGGATTTGGAATATGGCGTCAACTTAGTTGATAAGGCAGTGGCAGGGTTTGAGAGGCTTGATTCCAATTTTGAAAGAAATTCTACTGTGGTTAAAATGCTATCAAACAGCATCACATGCTACAGAGAAATCTTCCATAAAAGGAATAGCCGATCAATGTGGCAAACTTCCTTGTTGTCTTATTTTAAGAAATTGCCACAGCCACCCCATCCTTCAGCAACCACCACCCTGATCAGCCAGCAGCCATCAATAACTAGGCAAGACCCTCCACCAGCAAAAAGATCATGACTCCTTGAAGGCTCAGATGATCATTAGCATTTTTTAGCGATACAATTTTTTTAAGCTAAGGTGTATATATTGTTTTTTAGACATAATTCTATTGCACACTTAATAGACTGTAGTATAGTATAAGCATATATGCACTGGGAAGCAAAAAAAAATGTGTTACTTGTTTTATTGCAATATTTGCTTTATTGTTGTGGTCTGGAACTGAACCTGCAATAGCTTTGAGGCATTCCTGTAGAGTGGAGAATGTTATGTTGAATGGAGAATGAGGTATAGAATATGAAGACTGGATTATGGAGTATAGAGAATAAAGAATGGAGTACAGTTGATTTCTGACTTATGATTTCATTTACTATTTTTCAATTTTACAATGGTGTGAAAGCAATGGGCTGTCAGTAGAAACCATACTGAATTTTGATTTTTCCTGGCCTATAATACTGTATCATCACAGTGGGCAGCCATGGAGAGTCACAGCCCTTAGTCACCCAGGCTAATGTAAGTGTTCTAAGCATGTTTAAGGTAGGCTGGGCTAAGCTATGATGTACAGTAGATTAGGTGTACTCAATGAATTTATGACTTGTAATATTTTCAATTTACCATGGAGGTCAAGATGTTACCCCATTGTAAGTTGAGGAGCATGTGTGTAGAATATAAACAAAAGAGTACAGAGTATGAAAGACAGAGAATAGACAAAGAAGCATGAGAAAAGAGAATGGGATAAAAATATACAGCTAGAATACAGAGAATAGATAATGAACTATGGAGATAGGGCAATGAAGAATGGGGCACAGCGTATAGACTAGGGAGAAAGGAGATGAAATATAAAGAACATAGAATATAGAGAGGGGGTATGGAGAATGGAATATAGCTTGGACTATAGCATATAGAGAATAAAATATAAAGTATGGAGTATGGAGAAAAAAATGTGGAGCATGGAAAATGAAGAATGAGGAATAGAGTATGAAGAATAAAGAATGGAATGGGGTCTAGATTATGGAGAATGATACCTGGAGCATGGAAAATGGAGAATGGAATGGAATATGGAAAATGGAGAATAGAGAGTGGAATATGGACAATGGTAGGTGTATGAAGTATGAAACTTGGAGGATGGAGAATGGAGAAAAAGTACAGAATATGGAGACTGAGTATGGAGAATGAAGTATGGAGTATAGAGTATGGAGAATGGAGTACCAAGTATGATAAATATTGTGCAAAGTGTGTACTGCATGTGTGCACAGAGAACCTGAAGCAATATATGGTCCAAGAGGAAGGCCTAGTGCAAGGCCTGATATATGGTAGATGTTCCCAGAAACTAAGGTAAGGCAGGTAGCACTGGATCTGCACACAATGGGGGCAGTAATCCATAATCCATAACTTTGAATATGGGGTATGAGAACTACTGCAGAATAGAGTATGAAGTGGGTTATGGAGTATGGAAAATGGTGTATGGAGTATAAAGAATGGAAAATGGAAAATAAATAACAAAGAATTGAAAGCAGTTGGAGCAGGAAAATGGTGTATGGAGAATGGAGAGTGGAGTGTGAACAATGAATATGAAGTATGGAATATGGAGAATAGAATATAGAGTATGAAGAATGGCATATGCAGTACGAGAAATGCATGCACAAAGAAGTATACAAAATAAAGAATAAAATTGGAGAATGGAGTAGAATAGATAGATAACGGTCTACAGAGAATAAATTAAGGACAATGTGGTATGAAATATGGGCTATGGTGTATAAAAAAGATGTGTGGAAATGGAGTATAAAGTGAAAAGTATGGTGTATGGAGAAAAGAGAATGGAGGACAGTGTACAGAGTATGCAGTATGGTGAATAGAGAACGGTATGTATATGGAGTGTGGAGAAAGGAAAATGAGGGATGATTTATGGGCTATGGACTACAGAGAATAAAGAATGAAGAATGAAAACGGACAACATATAATGGAGTATGGAGAATGGAAAATAAAGAAAGGAGAATGGAGCGTGGAGAATGGAAAATGGAGAAAGAGATATGGAGAATGACGTATAGAGAAAAGAATAGAGAATGGATTATGAACTATGAACTAGGGAGCATGGAGTGTGGAGAAAGAAATGAAGAATAGAGAATGGTACACACAGAATGGAGAATTGTTTATGGAGAATGGAGAAATATTGAAAAGAACAATGAAGCATACAATATGGAAAATGGAAAGTTGAGAATGGTGTATGGAGAATGGAAAATATAGAATGGAAATCGGTGCATGAAGAATCAAATGTGAAGAAAGAATAACTGAGTACAGAGTTTGGAGAACAAAGGACGGAATTGGAAAAGGGGGAAGGGAGAATGGCATATGAAGAAAGGAGTATGGAGGACAAAGAGTGGAGAATGGAGTATGCAGTGTGAAGTATGAAGAATGGAGAATGGAAAATGGTGCATGGAGAATGGAGCTTGGAGAAAGGAGAATGGAAAATGCAGTGTGGAGAAAGAAGAATGGAGGATGGAGGATGAAGAAAGAAAAAGGGAGAATACAGTATGGAGTACAAAGGATGGAATATGGAGAATAGAGTATAGAGAAAAAAGAATGAATTGTGGAGATTGGAAAATGTATGGAAAAGTATGATGTATGGATAAAGGAGAATGGAAAGTGGAGTATAAAGAATGGAGAATGAAGGATGTGTATGGAGAATATGAAGAAAGGAGAATTAAGAATAGAGTATAGAGAATGGAGTATGAGGAGAGAAGAATGAGCAATGGAGTATAGGGAATGGAGTATGGAGAAAGCAGTATGAAGAATGAAGAATGCCAAAAGCAAAATGGAGTATGGAGAACGAAGCATGGAAAATACAAAATGGAGAATGATGAATGATGTATGAGAGTAGAGTATGAAGAAAGGAGAATGGAGTATAGAGATGGAGAATGGAGAATAGGTAGTGATGTATGGAGAATGGAATATGGGGAAAGAAAAGTGGAGAATAGCCTATGGAGAATGGAGGATGGTGAATGGTGTATAAGGAATGGAGTATGGAGCACACCAGTCAGAATGGCAATTATTAAAAAGTCAAGAAACAACATATGCTGGTGAGGTTGCAGAGAAAAAGTAACACTTTTACGCTGTTGGTGGGAATGTAAATTAGTTCAACCTTGTGGCAGGCAGTGTGGAGATTCCTCAAAGATCTAGATGCAGAAAAAGCATTTGACCCAGCAATTGCATTACTGGGTATATACCGAAAGGAATATAAATCATCCTATCATAAAGACACAAGCACGTGTTTCATTGCAGCACTATTCACAATAGCAAAGCAATGGAATCAACTGAATGTCCACCACTGGTAGGCTGGATAAAGAAAATGTGGTACATATACACCATGGAATACTATGCAGCCATTAAAAATGAGATCACATCCTTTGCAGGGACATGAATGGAGTTGAAAGTTGTTATCCTCAGCAAACTCATGTAGGAACAGAAAACTGAACACCACATATTCTCACTTATAAGTGGGAGCTAAATGATGAGAACACATGGACACATGGAATTGGGGGAACAACACACACTGAGGCCTGTCAGTCACGGGGCAGGAGGAGGGAGAGCATAAGGAAGAATAGATAATGGATGCTGGGCTTAATGCTTAGGTGATGGGTTGATCTGTGCATCCAACCACCATGGCACATGTTTACCTATATAAAAAACCTGCACATCCTCCACATATACCCCAGAACTTAAAATAAAAGTTGAAGAAAAAAATGGAGTATGGAGAAAAATGGAAAATGGACTATGGAATATGAGTATAAAGAATGTAGTATGGAAAAGGGAGAATGAAGAATGCAGAATGCCATATGTAAAATGGACTATGAAGAAAGGAGAATAGAGCATAGAGTATGGAGAATAAAAAACTGTAATGGAAAGGTGTATGAAGAACAGAATATGGCAAATAGAAAATGGAGAATGGTGTTTGAAGAAAGGTGAATAGGGAATGGAACATCGAGAATGAACTATGAACAAAAGAGTATGAAAAAGGGAGTGTGCAGAATAGAAAGTGGAGAATGAAGAATGGTGTGTGTAAAGTGGGGTATGAAGAAAGCAGGATGGAGTATAGAGTATAGAGTATGGAGGATTAAAAATGGAGAATGAACCATGGTGTACGAAGAATGAAGAAAGGAGATTAGAAAATAAAGAATGAAGAACAGCATATGAGGAAGGAGTATAAAGTATATAGTATGGAAAATGGAGGATGGGGAATGGTGCATGGAGAATGAAGTATAGAGAAAGGAGTAAGGAGAATGAAGTATGAAGAACGGAGTGTGTTGAAAAGAGAACGAATGAACAATGAGTATAGAGAATGAGGTATAGAGAAAGGAGAATGATGAACAGAAAATGGAGAATGAAGAATGGTGTATGAAAAATGAAGTATGAAGAAAGAATTGAGTACAGAGTACAGAATGTGGAGAATAAAAAATGGAGAATGGAATATGGAGAATAAGGTATGAGGAGGAGAATGAAGAAATGATAATAGAGAAAGGAGTATAGAGAATGGGGAGTGGAGAATGGTATGTGGAAAATGAAGTATGGAGAAAAAGAATGAAGAACGGATTATAGAAAATCAAAAGTGAAGAATGGAGAGTAATGTACAGAGAAGTGAATATGAAGTATACCATATGGAAAATGGAGAATGCTATACATAGAAAGGAGTAAGGAGTATGGAACAAGAAGAATGGATTATGATGAAAAAAGAAAAGAATGGAGTATGGAGAATGAGTATGGAGAAAGGAGAATAGAGTATGCAGAATGGAGTACGGAGAAAGGATCATGAAGAATAGAAAATGGAGAATAAAGAATGGTGTATGTAAAATGGCATATGAAGAAAGAAGAATGGATTATAGAGTATGGAGAATAAAAAATGAAGAATGGACAACAGTGTATGAAGAATGGAGGATGAAGAATAGAAAATGAGGAATGAAGAATGGCATACGAAGAGGGATATGAAGAAAGGAGAATGGAGAAAGGAGCACGGTGAGAGTAAAGAGTAATGTGTGGAGAATGGAGTATGAAATATGGTTTATGGAGTATGGAGAATCCAGAATGGACAGTACAGAATGGTGTACAGACAATGGAGAACAAAGTATAGAGTAAGGAAAATGGAAAATGGTGTATGGAGAAAGGAGTACGAATAATGGAATATGACAAAAGAAAAAGAAGAATAAAATATGGAGAAGAGTGTGGAGAAAGGAGAATGGAGTAAAGATAATAAACTATGGAGAACAGAAAACAGAGATTTAAAATGGTGTATGTAGAACGGAGTATGAAGAAAAAAGAATGGAACATAGAGTATGGAGAATGAACAATGGTGTGTGAAGAATGGAGTATGGAGAATAGAACATGAAGAATGAAGAAAGAATGGAGAATGGAATATGAGGAGGAGTGCAAAAAAAGGAGAATGGAGAATGGTGTATGGAGTATGGTTTATGGAGAGTGGAGTGTGGAATCCAAAAGAGAGAATGGAGAATAGAAAATGTTGTATAAGGAATGGAGCATGGGGGGAAGAGAATGGAGTGTGAAATGTGGGATATAAAAATGGAGTATGGAGAATGGAAAATGGGGAATGAAGTTGTTGGAGGAGAACAAAGTATGAAAAGAGAAGAATGAGTATTGGGTATGTAGAATGAAATCAGAAGAATGGAAAATTAAGAACAGAGGATGGTGTACAGAGAATGGCGTATAGTGAGAGGGGAAAAGAAAATGGAGTTTGGAGAATGAGTATGAATAATTTTAAAAAGGCATAGAATATGGCATATGGAATGTGAAGATTACAAAATGCAATGTGGAATGAAAAATGGTATATAAAGAATGCAGTACAGATAAAGGAGAATGGAATATGGAAAATGGAGTATAGACGAAGAAGAGATAATGGAGTATAAAGAATAATGTTTGGAGAATGGAGACTGGGATATGAAAAATGGAGAAGGGTATAAGGGGATTAGAGTATGGAAAAAGCAGTGTGGAGTATAAAGTATACAGAATGGAGAATGCAGAAAGGGGGAGGGAATTTGGAGTGTGATTGTGGGGAAAGGAGTTTGAAGAATGGAAATGGAGAATGGTGTATGGAGAATGAACTATAGGTGAGGGAGAATGGAGAATGATGTATAAAGTATGGAGTATTGAAAATGCAGAATGTAGTATGAAGAAACAGGAATGGAGAATGGGATATGAAAAATGGAAAATAGAGAATAGTTTATGGAGAATGAAGTATGGAGAAACCAGACTGGAGTATAAAATATGAGGAATAGAGATTGAGAATAGAGTATGGAGAATGGAGCGTATTGTATGGAGAATGTAGTATAGAGTGTGGAGAAAGAGTATTGAGAATAAAGTACGGAATATGGAGAATTTATAGAGAAGTATAGAGCATGGAGAATGGTGTACAGAAAGGGGAATGAAGAATGGTATATATAGAATAAAGTATTGTGTATGAAGAAAGAGGAATGGAGAAAAGAATATGAAGAATACATAATGGTTTATGGAGAATGGAATATGAAAACTTCAGATTGAAATATAAAGTATGCAAATGGGTAATGAAGAATATAGAGTATGTAAAATGGAAAATGGTGGATGGAGAATGAATAAAGAGTAAGGGAAATGGAGAATGGATGATAATGTATGGAGAATGAAGTATGGAAAAAAGAATAAAGTATTGAATACAGAGATTGATGATGGAGAAAGGAGTATGGAGAAAGCAGAATGAGAATAATGCGTACATTATGTAGTGGGGGAATTGAGAATGGAGGTTGGAGTCAGGAATATGAAGTATGGAGAATGAAAAATGGAGTATGGTATATGCAGAATGGAGTTAGAAGAAAGAAAAATGGAGTATAGAGTATGAAGAATGGCTTATGGAGAACTGACCTGGAGAATGGAGAATAAGGAATATTGTACAGAGAACAAAGAATAAAGAATTGTGTATGAAGAATAAAGTATGGAAAAAGAAGAGTGGAGAATTGTGTATGGAGTGAGTATGGAGAAGGGAACGTAAAGAATGGATATTAGAGAATGGTATATGGAAGATGGAGAGTGGAGTATAGTAAATGGGGAATAAAGAATAGAGTAGGGAGAATGAAATATGAAGAAAAGAGAATAAAGTGTGGAATATGGAGCATTGAGAATGGTGTATAGAGAATGAGGTGTGAGAAAAAAGAATGAGAATTAAGTATTAAGTAAGTATGGAATATGGGGAATGGAGAATAGAAAAAGGAGAATGGAGCATGGTGTATAAAGAATTGAGAACGAAGAATGGGGCATAAAATATGGAGAATGGTGTGTGGAGAATAGAGTATGGAGAAAGAAGAATGAAGAATGGGATATGGAGAATAGTGTATGAAAAATGAAGTATGGAGAAAAGAGAATGGAGTATGGCACGTAGAGAATGAAAAAGAAAAATGTGTGTGGAGAACGGAGTGTGTAGAAAGGAGAATGAGAATAGCGAAGTATAACGCATGAAGTATGGAAAATGAAGTGAGTCTGGAATATGGTGCATGGTGTATGCTGAATGGTTTATGGAGAAAGAAACATGAAATATGGAGTATGGAAAATTGAGAATGGTGTACAGAGAATAGAGTATGGAGAAAGGAGAATAAAGAACATAGTACAGAGAATAGAGAAAAAGAATAGTGTATGGAGAATAAAGTATGTAAAATGAAGAATGGGGAATTGTATATGGCGTATAGAGTATGGAGAATGGAACAGAAAGAATGAAGAATGGAGAGTGTTGAACGGAGAATGCAGTATAAATAATGAAGAATGGAGTAATGATAATCAAATAATAAAAGAACTGAAAATAGTCCAGGTGCAGTGGCTCACGCTTGTAATCCTAGCACTTTGGGAGGCCGAGGCAGGCGGATCACTTGAGGTCGGTAGTTCAGGACCAGCCTGGCCAACATGGTGAAACCCCATCTCTACTAAAAATACAAAAATTAGCTGGGCATAGCAGTGCTTGCCTGTAATCACAGCTACTTGGGAGACAGAGTCAGGAGAATCACTTGAATCTGGGAGGCGGAGGTTGCAGTGAGCTGAGATCACGCCACTGCACTCCAGCCTGGATGACAGAGTAAGACTCCATCTCAAAAAGAAAAAAAAAAAAGAATGGAATATAAAGAATGAAAAACCAAGAAAGGAGAATGGAGAATGATGTATGGAGAATAAAGCATGGAGAAAGAGAATGGAGAATAGGCCATGATGTATGGAGAATAGACTATGAAAATGGAGAATGGTGTATGAAAAGTGGTGTATCTGAGAGCAGAAAAGGAAATGGAGGGTGCAGAATGAGTATGAAGAACAAAGAACCAAGCATGGAGCATGTAGTATAAAGAATGGAGTATAGAGATGAAAAAAATGGAGAATGGAGAATGGTGTATAAAGAATGAAGCATGGAGAAAGGAGAAAGGAGTGCGGAGAAAAGACAAGAGAGAATGGAGTATAAAGAATAAGGTTTGGAGAATGGAGTATGGGTATGAAAATGAAGGGTATAAAGAAATTGGAGTATGGAGAAAGAAGAAAGGAGTGTGGAATATGAAGAATGGAAAATCCACAATAGAGAATGATGTGTGGAGGGGAAAGGATGGAGAGAAGAGAATGGAGAATAGAGTGTGGAGTGTGGAGAATTTGAAATAGAGACTGAAGAATGTTGTATGAGGAGTAGAGAATGGAGTATGGAGTATGGTGAAAAGAGAATGGAGAATGAAGACTGGAGAATAGAGAATGGAGAGTAGAGACTGGAGCATAGATAAGGAAGTATGGAGAAAAGAGTGGAGAATGAAGTACGGAGTGTGAAGAAGAGAGAAAGGCGAATGGTGTGTAATGAATGGAGAATGTAAAAAGGGGAATGAAGAATGGAGAATGGACGAAGGTATATGGGGAATAAAGTATAGAGAAAAAAGCATGGAGTGTGAAGTATAAAGAATGGAGAGGTCGGGAGTGGTGGCTGAAGCCTGTATTCCCAGCACTTTGGGAGACCAAGGTGAGTGAATCCCTTGAGCCCTAGAGTTTGGGACCAGAGTGGGCAATATGGCAAAACCTCGTCTCTACAAAAAATACAAAAATTAGCTGGGCATGGTGGCACACACTTGTAGTCTCAGCTACACAGAAGACTGAGGTAGGAAGATTGCTTGAGCCCAGGAGGTGGAGGTTGCAGTGAGCCGAGATTGTACGACTGCACTCTAGTCTGGGCGACAGAGCGAGATCCTGTCTCAATTAAATTAATAAATAAATAAATAATGGAGAAGGAAAAATGGAGTATGGAGAATGGATTGTGGAGAAAGAAGAATATTGAACTATGGGTACAGAGTATGGAAAACATTATGGAAATTGAAAAATGGAGAATGGACAATGGTGTATGGAGAATGGAATATAGAGAAAAAAGAGTGAAGTGTGGAGAATGCAGCATGGCAAAAGGAGAAAAGAGAAAAAATGTAGAGAATAAAATTTGGAGAATGGAGTATGGGGAATGAAAATGGAGAATAGACTATGACCTACAGAGAAAGAAGTATAAAGTATAGAAAATGGAAAATGGAGAATTGAGAATCACGTATATTGAATGGAGTATGGAGAAAGCAGTAAGGACGTTGAAGTATAATGGAGGGAAAAAAGAAAGTGGAGCATGCAAAATGGCTATCGAGGCTGGGCGCAGCAGCTCACGCCTGTAATCCCAGCACTTTGGGAGGCCGAGGCGGGCAGATAACTTGAGACCAGGAGTTCGAGACCAGCCTGGCCAACATGGTGAAACCCCATCTCTACTAAGAATACAAAAATTAGCCGGGCGTGGTGGCGCGGGCCTGTAATCCCAGCTACTCAGGAGGCTGAGGCAGGAGAATGGCGTGAACCCGGGAGGCAGAGGTTGCCTTGAGCTGAGATTGTGCCATTGCACTCCAGCCTGGGTGACAGAGTGAGACTCCATCTCAAAAAAAAAAAAAAAAAAAGACTATGGAGAAAGAAGAAGAATATGGAGAATGGTGCATGGAGAACTGAGAATAAAGTATAGAGAATGGACTATGAGGAGAGGAGAATGAGCAATGGAATATAGCAAATGGAGGATGGAAAAGGAGCATGGAGAATAGAGGAAAACTGAATACGGAGAATGGAATGTGGACAAAGTAGAATGGAGGATGGAAAATGAAGAATGGCATATGGAGAATAAAGCATTAACAAAGGAGAAAGGGGAATAGAGTATGGAGAAGAGAAAAAAAGAGAATGGAGAAAGGAGTATGAAGAATGGAGAATGGAGCTGGCATATGACGAATGGAGTATGGAGTATGGAATATGTTGAATGGAGCTGAGAGAAGGAAAAATGGAGAGTGGTGCATGAAGAAGGGTGTATAGTGAGAGGGGGAAAGAACATGGAGTATAAAGAATGAGTATGAAAAATGAAGAACAAAGTATGGAGTATGTAGACCTGAGTGCAGAGACAAAAAAAATGGAAAATGGTGTATAAAAAATAGCGTATGGAGAAAGCAGAAAGGAGAATTAAGTATGGAAAATATAGTATAAAAAAAGAAGAGAGAACAAAATATAGAGAATGATGATTGGAGAATGGAGTATGGGCAATTTAAAATGCTGAATTATGTAAGGAGATTGAAGTATGGAGAAAGGAGAAAGAAGTGTGTATTACGGAGTATAGAGAAAGAAGAATGAAATATGGAGTATGAAGTATGATTATGGAGTATGGAGGATGGAGGATGAAAAATGGAAAATTCAAAATGAAGAATGGTGTATGAAGGAGAAGGTATGGAGAGAGGACAATGGAGAACGGAACATGAAGGATGTTCAATTTGGAATAGACAACGTTGTAGGCAGAATGGAGAATAAAGAAAGAAGAATAGAGAATGGTGTATGATGTATGTAGTATGAAATATGAAGAAAGGAGAATGGTGTATGAAAAATGAAATATGGAGAACAGTGTATAGAGGTGGAATATAGAGAATGAAAAATGTATGATAGAAATGGTGTATGGACAATGGCATACGGAGAAAATAGTGAATAATGGAGTATGGAGAAAAGCGAATGGAGACTGCTGTGTAACAAATGGAATATGAAGAAAGTAGAATAGAGAATGGAGTATGGAGAATAAAGATTGGTGTATATAAAATTAATTAAAGAGAAAACAGAATGGAGTATGGAGTATGCAGTATGGACAATGAAAAATGATGTATAAAGAGTGGCGTATGTAAAAAAATGAAGAATAGAGAATGGAGGTGAGAAAATGGAGAATGGAGAATAGTGTGTGGATAATGGAGTATGAAGGAAAAAGGATGAAGTATGAAGAATAGGCATGGAAAAAGAAAAACAGAGCAGGGAATATAGAGAATAAAGTTTTCAGAATGAAGTATTGAGAATGGAAAATGGAGAAATGAATGGAGTATTGAGAATGAAGTATGAAGAAAGGAGAATGAAGTATGGAGTATTATTATATAGAGTATGGAGAATAAAGAAAGGAGAATGGAAAAAAGTGTATGAAGAAGTATGGAAAGAGGAAAATGGAGATTGGAGTACGAAGTATAAAAATGGAGTATGGAGAATGGTGTATGGAGAATGGAGAACAGTATATGGAGAATGGATTATGGAAGAAAAGAGAATAAAAACTAGTGTATAAAGTATGAACTATGGGAAATACAGTATAAAAAATGAAAAATGGAGAACTGCGTCTGGTGAATGGTGTATGGAGAAAAAAGAATAAGGAATGGAGTGTGGAAGATGAAACACGGAGCATGGAGAATGTAGTATGAAAAAAGAGGAATGGCGAATGGAATATAAAGAATGAAGAATGGTTTATGGAGAGTAAAGTATAAAGCAATGAGATTGGAGTATAAAGTATGGAGAAAGGAGTATGGAGAATGTTGTATAGAATATGGAGAAATGAGAATTGTGAATGAAATATAAAGAATGAAGAATAAGGTATAAAGAATTGATTACTGAGAATGAGAGAATGTTGTATGGAGAATGGTGTATGGAAAATAGAGTATGAATAAAGAAGAATTGAGACTGAAGATTAAAGTATGGAGAATGGTATGTGGAGAATGGCATGTTGTGAATGCAGAATGTAGTTTGAAAAAAGAGGAGGGGGAATGGAATATGAAGAATGGTTTATAGAGAATAGAATGTGGAGAAAACAGATTGGAATATTATGTACAGAGAATGACAAATGAAGAAAGGAGCAAAAGAATAGAGTACAGGGAATGGAAAATGGTGTATAGAGAATAAAGAATGGAGAAAGGATAATGAAGAATATAGTATGGAGCATGGAGAATTAAAAATGGTGTATGAAGAATAATGAATGGAGAAAGAAGAATAAGAAACAGTGTATAAAATGTGGACTATGGAGAATGAAACATAAAGAGTGAAGATTAGATAATGGTGTATGGAACATAGAGAATGGAGAGTAGGGTATGGAGAATGAAGAATGGAGAAAAACAATAAATTATAGATATGAAGAATGGAGAATGGAGTATGAAGAAATGAGAATAAGAATAAAGTATAAAATACAGAGTATAGGGAATGGCGTATAAATAACATAAAAGGAAGAATGGAGTGTAATGCGTAAAAAAATGAGAATGGGCCAGGCGCGGTGGCTCAGACCTGTTATCCCAGCACTTTGAGAGGCCAAGGCGGGTGGATGGTTTGAGGTCAGGAGTTCGAGACCAGCCTGACCAACATGGTGAAACCCCGTCACTACTAAAAATACAAAAATTAGCCAGGCGTGGTGGCAGGCACCTGTAATCCCAGCTACTTGGGAGGTTGAGGCAGGAGAATCCCTTGAACCCAGGGCAGAGATTGTAGTGAGCCAAGGTCGCACCACTGCACTCCAGCCTGGACGACAAAGTGAGATTTTGTCTCAAAAAACAAAAAATGAGAATGAAGAACGGGGCATAAAATGTGGAGAATGTTGTATGGAGAATGGAATATGGAGAAAAAAGAATGGAGAAGGGAGTGTGGAGAACAGAGCAGGGAGAATGAAAAATGGAGAATGGTGTATGGAAAAGAAGGAACGAAGTATGAAAATGGAGAATGGACAATAGTGTACAAACAATAAAGTATGAAGAAAGGGGAATGAAGAATGGACAATGGTGAATGGAGAATGGGTTATGAAGAAATAAGATTGAGAATAAAGTATAAACTATATTGTATGGAAAATGGCGAATGAAGTTTGGAATGTGGAATATGAAACATGAAGAATAGAATATGGAGAAGGAAGCATGAAGTATTGAGTATAGAGAATGTAGTATAGACAATGGAGAATGAGGAATATAGTATGAAGCATGGAGAAAAAAGAATGGTGTGTGGAGAATAAAATATAGATTAAAATTGCTAATGATGTATGGAGTATAGAATATGGTGAATGGATTATAAATAATAGAGAATGGGGAGTGTTGAATGGAGAATGAAGTAGAAGAATGGATAATAAAGTATTGAGAATGGAAAATGGAGTATGAGAAAGGGGAATGAAGAAATGAGTATAGTGAATAAAGAATGGTATCTGGAGAAAGAATGATTAGAATGAAGAAATGATAATAGAGTATGAAAACCAGAGTATAGAGGGAAGAGAAGAAGAATGGTGTATGCAGAATAAAGTATGTAGAATTGGGAACGGAGAATAGAGTATGGAGTATTGAGTATCGACTATGGAGAATACAGAATGGTGTATAGATATCAAAGTATGGAGAAGGGGGAATAGAGAATAAAGAGTGGAGCATGGAGGGGGGAGACAAGACAATGCTATATAAAGAATAGACTATAAAGGAAAAGAACAGCATATGTAGTATGAAGAATGAAGAATGGTGTATGAAGAAAGAAGTGTGGAAAAAGGAGAAAGGGGAATGGCATATGGAAAAATGGTGTATAGTTGGAGCCAGAAAGGAAATGGAGTATGGAGAACAAGTGTGAAGAATGAAGAACAAAGTATGGAGTATATAGTAGGGAGAATGAAGTATGAAGCTGAAAAAGTGTAGAATGTAGAATCGTATATAAAGAATAAGGTATGAAGAAAGGAGAATGAAGTATAGAAAATGGAGTATGGAGACAAGACTAGAGAGAATGAAGTATAAAGAATAAGGTTTGGAGAATGAAGAATGGGGTACAAAAAATGAAGAGTGGAGAATGGTGTAAGGAGATTGGAGTATGGAGAAAGAAGGAAGGAGTGTGGTTTATGCAGTATAAAGAGTGGAAAATACAGAATGGAGATTAATGTATAGAGGGAAAAGTATTGAGAAGAGAGGATGGAGTGTGGAATGTGGAGAATAAAGCATGAGAATGTGAAATGGAGACTGAAGAATGTTGGATGAGAAATAGAGAATGGAGAATGGTGCATGGAGTATGGAGCACGGGGTATGAAGAAAAGAGAATGGAGTATGAAGAAAAGAGTATGGAGAAAAGAAAATGGAGAGTGAAGAATGGAGAATGGTATATAAAGAATAAATTATGGAGAATGAAAAATAAAAAGGAGAAAATGATGTATAGATAATGAAGTATGGAGACAAAAGGTGAAGAATGAAGTATGGAGAAAAAAGAATAGAGAATAATGTATAATGAATGAAGAATAAAGAAAGGAGAATGAAAAGTAGAGAATGGGGGAGGGCATATGGGAAATAAAATATAGAAAGAAAAGAACAGAGTTTGGGATATAAAGAATGGAGTATGAACAATGGTATATGGAGGATGATTATGGAGAAAGAAGAATGAGGATTGAACTATGGGTATAGAGTATGGAAAACAGTATGGAGACTGATAGAGAATGAACAAAGGTGTATGGAGAATAGAATATACAGAAAAAATGGAGTATAGAGAATGGAGCATGATGAAATGAGAACAGAGAATATAAAACAAAGAATGAAGTTGGAGAATGGAGTATGGGGAATGGAAAATGGAGAATAGACAATGGTGTACAGAGAATAAAGTATGGAGAATGAGAATCTTCATACTCATGGAAAATGGAGAATGAGAATTATGTATAGAGAATGGAGTATGGAGAAAGCAGTAGGACAATAAAGTATGAACGATGGAGTATAATGAGAGGAGAGAGGGGGAAGAAGACTGGAGTAGACAGAATGACTATGGAGAAAGAAGTATGGAGTATGGAGAATGATGCACGGAGAATTGAGAATGGAGTATAAAAAATGGACGATGAGGAGAGAAAATAAGTAATGGAGTATAGTGATGAAGCATAGAAAAAGGAGTATGGATGAGAAAGAATAAAAGAAAAATGGAATATAGAGAATGTAATATGGACAAAGAAGAACGGGGGATGAAAAATGGAGAATAAAGAACGGCATATGGAGAACGGCATATTAAGAAAGAATGAAGAAAGGAGTATGGAGAACAGTGAATGAAGTATGAAGAGAGACAAATTAAGTATGAAGTATGGAGTATGTAGAATGGAGTCAGGAGAATGGAAAATGGAGAATGGTTTATGAGAATGATGTGTAGTAAGAGGAAAAAAGAACATGGAGTCTGAAGGATGAATATAAAAAACGAAGAATAAAGTATGGAGTATGTAGACCAAATTATGGAAATGAAAAATGGAGAATGGTGTGTAAAGAATGAAGTATGGAAATAGAATATAGAGAAATGAGAAGAGAAAATAAAGTACAGAGAACAATGTTTGGAGAATGCAGGATGTAGAATAAAAAATGCAAAATAGTGTAACAGGTTGAAGTAGGAGAAAAGATAAAAAGTGTGGAGAATGGAGTATGGGGAATGGAGAATGAAGTATAGAGTATAGAGGATGAAGAATGGAAAATGCAGAATAAAGAATAGTATATGAAGGAGAGAATACAGAGAGAGAAGAATGAAGAATAGAGTATGGAGAATTGTGTATGAAGAATGACGAATGATGTATGGAGAATTAAGTATAGAGAAAGAAGAATAAAGATTGGGTGTATGGGGTATGGAAAATGCAATATAAATAATAAAAAATGGAGACGTGTTTATAGAGAATGATGTGTGAAGATAAAAGAATGAAGAATGGACTGTGGAAAATGAAGAATGGGGAATGGTATATGGGGAATAGACTCTAGAGTAAAGAGAATTGAGAAGGGTGTATAAAGTTTGAAATATGGAGAATGGAGTATGGAGAATGCAGAAAAGTGTGAGAGTATCGAGTAGGGAGAAAAGTGAATGAACAATGGAATAAGGAGTATGTATTATGGAGAATAATGTTTAGATAATAGAAAATGGAGAATGGTGAATGGCATATGGAGAACAGAGTATGAAGAAAAAAGCATGGCATATGGAGAATGCAATATGAAGAAAGAGGAATGGAGAATGGAATATGAAGAATGGAGAATTGTGTATGGAGTATGGAGAAACAAGACTGCAGTATAAAGTATGGATAATGAAGAAATAAGAATGAAGTATGGAAAATAGTGTACGGAGAATGTAGTATAGAATATAAAGAAATGAGAATTAAGAATGAAGTATGGAGAATGGAGAATAAGGTACAAAGAATGGGGAATAAGGAATAACAAATGAATTACTGAGAATGAGAGAGTGTGGTATAGAGAATAGTGTATGGATAATGGGGGATGGAGAAAAAAGAATGGAGATTGGATATGGAGAAAACAGAATACAGAATGGTGTATGGAGAATGGAGAATAAGGTACAAAGAATAAAGAATAAGAAATAAGCCCTGGCTGGGTGGCTCACACCTGTAATCCCAGCATTTTGGGAGGCCAAGGCGGATGGATCACCTGAGGTCAGGAGTTCGAGACCAGCCTGGCCAACATGGTGAAACCCCATCTCACTAAAACTTCAAAAATTAGCCAGGTGTGGTGGCAGGCACCTGTAATCCCAGCTACTTGGGAGGCTGAGGCAGGAGAATCACTTGAACCTGGGAGATGGAGGTTGCAGTGAGCCGAGATTGTGCCATTGCACTCCAGCCTGGGTGACAGAGTGAAACTCTGTCTTAAATAAATAAATAAGAGATTATTGAGAATGAGAAAATGTGGTATGAAGAATGGTGTATGGAAAATGAGGTATGGAGAAAGAAGACAGAAGAATGGAGAATGGTGTATGGAGAATGGAGAATGGGTGTTGTCAATGCAGAATGCAGAATAAAGGAAAAGGAGGGGTTAATGGAATATGAAGAATGGAGAATGGACAATGGAATATGGAGAAAACAGATTGCAGTATAATGTATGAAGAATGAAGAAAGGAGCTAGAGAAGAGAGTATGGAAAATAGAAAATGATGTGTGGAAAATGGAGAATGGAGAAAGGATACCAAAGAATATAGTATGAAGAAAAGAGAATACAAATGGTGTATGGAGAATAATAAATGGAGAAAGAAGAACGGGAAATGGTGTATAAAGTATGAAGTATGGAGAATGGAGCATAAAGAATGAGATTGAACAATGATATATAAAAAACGGAGAATGGAGAGTAGGGTATAGAGAATAAAAATGGAGAAAGAAGAATCAATTATGGATGTGAAGAGTGAAGTATGAAGAAAAAAGGAGAAGAATAAAGTATGAAGTATGAGGAATGGAGTATGAAGAATGGAAAAGGAAGAATGAAGCGTCATGCATAAAGAAATGAGAATGGAGAATTGAGTATAAAGGATGGACAACAGAGTGTGGAGAATGAAGAATATTATATGGAGAATGAAGAATTGAGAAAAGAGAATGGAGTATAGAGAATAAAGAATGGTGTATGGAGGATGGAGAACGGAATGTGGAGAAAGGATAATTAGAATGAAGAAAGGATAACAGAGTGTGGAGAATAGACTATAAAGTATAGAAAATGGAGAACAATGTATGGAGAATGATGTATGGAAATGGAGTGTGGAGTATGGAGAATAGACAATGAAGAATAGTGTACATATAATGAAGTATGGTGTATGAAAGCCAAAGTGTGGAGAAAGGGGAATAAAGAATGGAAAATAAAGATGGAGAATGGAGAATAGACAATGCTGTTTAAAGAATGGACTATGGAGAAAAGAAATAGAATATGGAGTATAAGGAATGGTGAATGGTGTATGAGGAAAGGAATATGGACAAAGGAGAATGGTGTATGAATTACAGAATATGAATAATGAAGAATGGTATACAGAGAACAGAATATGAAGAAACAAGAAAGGGAATGAAATATGAAGTATGGAGAATGAGGAAAGGAGTATGGACAAAGGAGAATGGTGTATGAATTACAGAATATGAATAATGAAGAATGGTATACAGAGAACAGAATATGAAGAAACAAGAAAGGGAATAAAATATGAAGTATGGAGAATGAGGAAAGGAGTATGGACAAAGGAGAATGGTGTATGAATTACAGAATATGAATAATGAAGAATGGTATACAGAGAATAGAATATGAAGAAATAAGAAAGGGAATGAAATATGAAGTGTGGAGTATGAGAAATTAAGTATAAAGAATGGAAAATTGAGGATGAATAATGGTATGTGGAGAATGGGATAAGGATTATGGAGAATGAAAAATGGAGAATGAAGAATGGTGTATGGGGAATGGAGTATGGAGAAAGGATAAATTGAGATTGGAGAATTTAGCATGGAATATACAGAATGAAGAATGGAGAATGATGTATAAGAATGGAGTATAGAGAAAGGAGAGTGAAGTTTGGAGAATTGAGAACAGTGTATGTAAATGGGATATGGAGAAGGGAGAATGGAGTATCAAGTATGAAATATGGAGATTGGAAAGAAGTATGAAGAATGAAGAATATAGTAGAGAGAATAAAAAAGGGTGTATTAAGAATAGACTAAGGATAATTTAAAATAGGTAAGTATTATGTATGGAGAATGTAGTATGTAAAAAGAAGGAAGAATGCCATGTGAAGAATGAATCATGGCATACGAAGAATTGAGTATGGAGAAAGGAGAATGGAGTATTATATATGGACAATGGAAAGCGGAGAATAGTGCATAAAGAATTAACTACGCAGAAAGAAGAATGAAAATGGAGGATGAAGAAAGGAAAATGGAATATGGAGTAAAAAGAATGGAGTATGGAGAAAGGAGAATGAAGAATGGAGTGTGGAATATGGATTATGGAGTGTTGATAATGACATATAAAGAAAGGAAAATAGAGAATGCATAATGGTGTATAGAGAATGGAGTATGGAGAAAGGAGAACATAAAGCGCAATACGGAGTATGGAGTGTGGAAAATGGAGTATGGAGTGTGGAAAATGGAGTATGGAGAAAAATAAAGAATGAAGTATGAAATGTGAGGTATGGAGTATAGAGAATGGAGAATGGTGTATGAGAAATGAGGTGTTGAGAATACAAAATGGAGAAAGAAGTGTGATGTATGGAGAAAAGTTAATGAAGAATGAAGCAGAAGTGGAGAATGAGTATGGTGTATGGGAATGGATATGGAGTAAGAGAAATGAGAATGGAGATCGGTGCTTGGAGAATTGAGTACAGAAAAAGGAGAATGAAGACTGGTGTTTGGAGAATGACATATGGAAAAACGAAGAATGGATTCTAGAGTACAAAGTATAAAGAATGGAAACTGGAGTATGGAGAAGGGAAAGTGATGAATGAAATATAGAGAATGAAGAATGATGGGTGGAGAACGAAATATGCAGAATAGAAAGCAAAGAATATTACATTGTGTGCAAAGAAAAGAGAATGGGGCATGGAGTATGGAGAATAAAGTATTAGGAACGGAGTTGGAGAATGAAGTATAGAAATAATGTATAGAGAATGAAGAAAAAAGAGAGAATGGAATACAGAGAAAGGAGAATAGACAATGGAGTATGAAGTATGGACAATAATGAATGAAGAATGGGGTTTGAAGAATGCAGTATGGAGAATAGACAGTACTGAGTAAAGAATGGATTACAAAGAATGAAAAATAGAGGGTGGAGTATGGTGCTTGAAGAATGGAGAAGGGAGAAAGAAGAATGGAGAATGAAAAATGGAGAATGCAGAAGAGTGTATAGAGAATGGAATGTGGTAAAAAGATCACAAAATGTAGTTAGGAGTATGAAGTACGGAGAAATTAGTATGAAGAATAGAGAATGGTGTGTAAACAATGGAGTATAGAGTATGAAGAATGAACTAAGGAAAATGAAAAAATGGAGAATAGAAAAAATAATGTATGGAGAATGCAGTATGGACAAAGAATAGAGAATGGAGTGTGAGGTATAAAGTATGAAGAATGGAGTATGGAGAATGATGCATGGAAAATGAAGTATAGATAATAGACGATGAAGAATGAAGCATGGTTAACAAAAAATGAGGAATTAAGTATGGCAAATGGAAAAATAAGAATGAAGAATGTAGTATGGATGATGAAGAATGGAGAATAGAGTCTAGAAATAGAGAAAGGAGAATGGTGTTTGAAAAATGGAGAACTGTATATGGAGAGTGGAGTATGGAGAAAGAAGGAGAACAAAGTATGAAATATGGAGAATAGAAAATTAAGAATGGTGAGCTGAGATGGAGTATGGAGATTTTTTTTAAAGAGAACGACAATACTGTTTAACAAATGAAGTATAAAAACGGGGAATGGAGAATAAATTCTGGAGTACAGAGTATAAAAATGGAGGGTGGAGTATAAAGAATGGGATATGGAGAGAGGAGAATTAAGAACGGCATATATACAATGAAGTATTCAAAATGGAGAATGTAGTACAGAGTGTGTAAAATGGAGAATGAAGTATGGAGAAAGAAAAGTGGAGAATGGAGCAAGGTGTATGGAGAAAAAAGAATGAAGAATGTCGGATAGAGAAAAGATAATGGAGGCCAGGTGTGGTGGCTCATGCCTGTAATCCCAGCACTTTGGGAGGCCGAGGCAGGAGGATCACTTCAGGTCAGGAGTTGGAGACCAGCCTGGCCAACATGGTAAAACCCTGTGTGGTGATTAAAACTGAGTTTCAACTTGATTAGATTGAAGGATACAAAGTACTGATCCTGGGTGTGTCTCTGAGGGTGCTGCCAAAGGAGATTAACATTTCAGTCAGTGGGCTGGGAAAGGCAGACCCACCCTTAATCTTGATGGGTAGAATCTAATCAATTGCCAGTAAGGCCAGAATATAAGCAGGCAGAAAATTGTGAAAAGAGAGACTGGCCTAGCCTCCCAGCCTACATCTTTCTTCTGTGTTGGATGGTTCCTGCCCTTGAACATTGGACTCCAAGTTCTTCAGTTTTGGAACTCAAACTGTCTCTCCTTGCTCCTCAGCCTGCAGATGGCCTATTGTGGAATATATATATTCCATTAGTTCTGTCCCTCTAGAGAACCCTGACTAATACACCCCATCTCTACTAAAAATACAAAATTAGTCAGGCATGGTGGTGCATACCTGTAATCCCAGCTACTCAGGAGGCTGAGGCAGAAGAATCACTTGAACTCAGGAGGTGGAGGTTGCAGTGAGCAGACATCATGCCACTGCACTGCCTGGGTGACAGAGCAAGACTCCATCTCAAAAAATAAAAAATAAAAAAAAAAGAGAGAGAAAGGAGAATGAAGAATTGAGAATGGAGAATGGTACAGAGAATAGAGTACAGAGAAAAAAGAATGAAGTTTGAAGTATGGAGAACGAAGAAGGACATACAGAGAATTGATTAAGGTGAAAACAGAATGATGGATGAGGTATGTAGTATAATGAATAGAGTATACCAAATAGAAAAATGGAGGGTGGTATGTGGAGACTGGAGTATGAAGTATGAAGGAAGGAAAATGGAGAATGGATTATAAAAATGGAGAATGGAGAAGAGTGTATAGAGAGAACGGAGTATAAAGAAAGAGGATGGAGAATGGAGTGTGAGATATGGAGTATGGAGAATGGAGAATGAACGGTAGGATATAGAGCATGAAATATGGAGAATGGAAAAATGGAGAATGGACTGGTGCATGGAGAATAGTGTAGGAAGGATGGAGAATGATGTATAGAGAATAAAAAACTGTGCACGAAGAATGGAATATGAAAAAGTAGAATGGGATATGAGTAAAAAGAATGGAGGGAAAAATGCAAAATGAAGAATAATGTATGGAGAATGAAGATGGAGAAAGGAGAATGGAGTATGAGCTATGGAGTATGGAGACTGGAGTATGGAGATAAGAGAATGGAAGATGGAAAATGAAGAATGGAGCACCAAGAATGGAGCATGGAGAATAGAGAATTGTGTATGGTGAATGGGGTATAAAGATAGGAGAATGGAAAATGTAGTGTAAATTATAGAGTATGTAGAAAGGAGTAAGGAGCTTATAGAGTACATAAAAAGGAGTAAGGAGTATGGAGAATACAGAATGCACAACAGAGTGTCAAATATGGAGTATAGAGAATAGAAAATGGAGAATGCAGAATGGTGTATAGAGAATGGAGTGTAAAGAAAAAAGAATGTAGGGCTGGGGGTGGTGGCTCACGCCTGTAATCCCAGCACTTTGGAAGGCCAAGGTGGGCAGATCACCTGAGGTCAGGAGTTCAAGACCAGCCTGGCCAACATGGTGAAACCCCATCTCTACTAAAAATACAAAAAATTAACCAGGCTTGGTGGTGGGTGCCTGTAATCCCAGCTACATGGGAGGCTGAGGCAGGAGAATTGCTTGAACCCGGGAGGCGGAGGTTGTGGTGAGCCAAGATCATGCCATTGCACTCCAGCTTGGGCAACAAGAGCGAAACTCTATCTCAAAAAAAAGAATATAGAATTCAGTATGGAGTATGGAGTATGGAGTATGGAAAATGAAGAGCAGTGAATAACATATGGAGTATGGGGAATGCAGCATGGAGACTGGAAAACGAAGAGTGGAGAATGCAGTATGAAGTATGAAGAATGGACTGTGGAAAATGAAAAAATGGAGATCCGAGAATGGTGTATAAAGAATGGAGTACGGAATATGAAGGAAGGAGATTTGAGAATGAAGTATGAAGTTTGGAGTTTGGAGAATGGAGAAAAAACAATGGAAAATGGAATCTGAAATATAAATTATGTAGAATCAAGTATGAAGAATGAAATTGGAAAACAAAGTACGGTGTATGGAGAAAGAAGAATGGAGAATGAAGTATTAAGAATGAAGAATGGGATATAGAAATGGATAAAGGAGCTGGGCATGGTGGCTCACACCTGTAATCCCAGCAGTTTGGGAGGCTGAGGCAGGTGGATCATTTGAGGCCAGCAGTTCAAGGCCAGCCTGGCCAACATGGTGAAACCCCGTCTCTACTAAAAATGTAAAAATTGGTGCATGCCTGTATTCCCAGCTACTGAGGAGGCTGAGGCAGGAGAATAGTTTGAACCACTGCAAATAGTTCTCGCCACTGCACTTCAGCCTGGGAGACAGAGCGAGACTCTGTCTCAAAAAAGAAAGAAAGAAAAGAAGAAAGAAAAGGAAAGGGAAGGGAAGGGAAGGGAAAGGAAAGGAAAGGAAAGGAAGAAGGAAAGAAGGAAAGAAGGAAAGGAAGGAAGGAAGGAGAGAGAGAGAGAGAAAGAAATGGAGAAAGGAAAATGGAGAATGGTATGTAGATAATGGATTATGGAGAAAGAAGAACAGAGTATGGGGAATGAAGAACTGAGAATGGTGTATGGAGAATGGATTATTGAGAGAAAAAAACATGGAGAATGGTGTTTGGAGAACGGAATATGAAAAATGGAGAATGGAACATGGATTCTGGGGGTATACAGTATGGATAATTAAGAATGGAGAATAGAGAATGGAGGATTCACGACGAAGAATGAAGTATGAAGAACAGAATGAAGTATGGAGAACGAGGTGTGGAGGAAGGAGAATCGAAAAGGGAGCATGCAGTATGGAGTCTGGAGAAGGAAGAATGGAGTAGGCAGAATGGAAAATAGTGAATGGAGCATGAAGAATGACGATTGAAGAATTAAGTATAAGGAATGGAGAATGGGGATGGAGAATGAAGTATAGAGAAAGGAGAATAAGATTGGAGTATGGAGAATGGAGAATAAAGAATTGATGTGCAGTCTGTATTATGGAGAATGAAGCATGGTGTATGGAGAGTGAAGAATGAAATGTTGCTTATGGAGAATAAAGAATGGTGTATGGAGAATGGAAAAAGGAAATGGAGTATGAATAATGAAGAACAGAAGATAAAAATGGAGAAGAGGAATGATGTATGGAGAATGGAGTATGGAATATGAAGAAATGAGAATAGCAAATGTAGTACAGGGTATGAATAATGAAGAATAATGTATAAAGAATGGAATACGGAGAATGAAGTATGGAGAAAGGAGAATAGAGAATGGTGTCTGGAGGGTGGAGTCTAAAAAAGGGAGAGTGGAGAATGAATTCTGGACTGTAGATTATGGAGATGGAGTATGAAAAAACAGAACTAAGAATGGAGTACAGAGAATAGAGTATTGAGGATGCAGAATATAATACAGGTATGGAGAATGAAAAACTGTTTGTGGAGAATGGCATACAGAGAAGAGAAAATGGAGAATGGAGTATGGTGTATGAAAAAAAGAGAATAAAGAATGAACTATGGAGAAAGAAGAATGGAGAAAGGAGAATGGAGCATGGAGTACAGAGAAAGGAGAATGGAGTATGGATTATGGAGTACGGAGAATGAAGAATGGACTAAGGAAAATGGAGGTTGGGTATGGAGTATGGAGAATGAAGGTTGGAGTATGGAGTATGGAGAATGGAGAATGAAGGTTAGAGTAGGGAGAGTGGACTCTGGAGAATGGAGTATGGAGAATGGAGAATGGAATAAGGAAAATGGAGGTAGGGTATGGAGTATGGAGAATGAAGATTAGAGTACGGAGAGTGGACTATGGAGAATGCAGGTTGGAGAATGGAGGGTGGAATATGAAGAATGGAATATGGGGAATGGAGGTTGGAGAATGGAGAATACATCATGGAGCATGGACAATGAGTATGGAGGGTGGAATACGGAGAATGGAGCATGCAGAATGGAGAGTAAAGCATGGAGAATGGAGGGTGGAGAATGCAGTATGGACTATGAGTATGGAGGGTGAAATATGGGGAATGGAGGTTGGAGAATGGAGTAGGGAGAATGAGTATGGAGGGTGGACGATGGAGAATGGAGGTTGGAGAATGAGTATGGAGGGTGGATGATGGAGAATGAGTATGGAGGGTGGAATATGGAGAATGGAGGGTAGAATATGGAGAATGGAATATGGGGAATGGAGATTGGAGAATGGAGAATATAGCATAGAGCATGGAGAATGAGTATGGAGGGTGGAATATGGAGAATGGAGGTTGGAGAATGGAATATGGGGAATGGAGGTTGGAGAATGGAGAATACATCATGGAGCACGGACAATGAGTATGGAGGGTGGACTATGGAGAATGAGTATGGAGGGTGGAATATGGAGAATGGAGGGTGGAGAATGGAGTATAGAGTACGGAGAATGGAGAAGAGAGATTGGAGAATGAAGAATGAGCATGGAGGGTGGACTAGTGCCCTCCACTCTGTGCAGACCCAGTGGTATCTGCATTACCTTCTCTGTTGACAACTCCTGTCATGGGCCAGGCACTGCTTTGTCCACCCCCCACCATGGGCCATGCATTGTGCCAAGTGCTCTGGGGACACGTGCAGCACACATAGCATGGATGCGGTGATGGAAGCCTGTGCTGCCCAGAACCCTGGCTCTGGACTGTGCCCAGTGGTGGTGGTGATCTGCCTGCCTTGCTCCCTCCAAGCCATGTGCTGGCTGCTTTTGTCGGAAGTTGCATTTGTCCTCTGGGTGTGGACATGATGCCAGCAGTTTCGCCTGCTAACTCCATGTCCGCTGGGGGCTGAACACTGCCAGGCACTGGACAGACATTATTGACTGCCAACTGTGGGCTGTCACCATGTGCGGCTCTGTGTGCCTTTCTGACAGCTTTACCTACATCACGTGCTTTGCTGGGCTTCAATCCAACTAAGCTCCGTGTGCTCATTATTGAGCACCTGCAGTATACTAGCCATGTTTTAGACTACATCTAGAGTACCTTCTTTATATATGTTAGTGAGCATCTACTGAAAACAGGATACTCTTAGGCTCTTCAGACTAATTATTTAGCACCTCCTATGTACAGATATTCTTTTTTTTTTTTTTTTTTTTTTTTGAGACGGAGTCTTGCTCTGTTGCCCAGGCTGGTGTGCAGTGGCGTGATCTCGGCTCACTGCAAGCTCCGCCTCCCGGGTTCACGCCATTCTCCTGCCTCAGCCTCCCGAGTAGCTGGGACTACAGGTGCCCACCACCACGCCCGGCTAATTTTTTTGTATTTTTAGTAGAGACGGGGTTTCACCATGTTAGCCAGGATGGTCTTGATCTCCTGACCTCGTGATCCGCCTGCCTTGGCCTCCCAAAGTGCTGGGATTACAGGCGTGTGCCACCGTGCCCGGCCGTGTACAGATATTCTTCTAAGCTCCTTACCACATCCCCACAGCCTGCTGGGCTCTGTGGTAGCATTGCTGCACATCTTGAAGGACCAGGTCATGCCCACGTCATGCTGTGGGATTTACTTACCCCATGTGCTGGGCTCCATGCTGGGTGTTTCGCTTTTATTCCTGAGCATGTCTTGGGGGCTGGATGTTCTCACAGGCTCTTTACCTTTGTGGCCAAAGCACCTGCTCTGCGTCACACACTGTTCTAGGAATGTACATGCATCAGGGGGTGATGAGCAAAGGCAGGCCTCTATTTCCCCATCTGTTCATGGGGACCAACATGCCATCTTTACAGGGTGCTCTGAAACCCAGGAGAGCCCCCAGCACAAGGCCATGCAAGGCAAGGAATGCCAAGAGAAGGGCAGGTCTGTCCAAGGCTGCCCCCTTGGGGGGCTGGGACACCAGGAATCCCCAAGGCCTGGGCACAGGGCTCAGAGCCCATGCACCTCCCTCTGGAAGCCTTCATGGGAACTGTGGGGGTGTCAGGGAGGCTTCTGGGCTGCCCTTCCACTAGAGGATTCCCCGGCAGCTGCGCTGGAGTGGACTCCCACATGGATCTTCCAGCCAGCCCAGGTGTCCCAGCTCTCACCCCACAATGGCCTCTCCAGGAGGTCCTTTAGGACAGCACACTTGGCCTTGGGGTGCAGTGGGACTGCCTCCTGTCTGCCCTGCTCTTCACCCAGAACCATCTCTGCGGTTCCACTTGCCCCAACCCAGGCCTTCCTCACACCTCGGCTTCTCCTCCGATGGGCCTTCCTGCCCCCCCAGACCTCCCCCTACCTTGGGCCTCCCCATATGTGGCTCCCAGAGCCTCTGGGTGGTTTCTACAAACCAAGCCCCATCAGAGGAGGACGAAGATTTGCCTGTTTCAGAAGGCTCAGAAGTGGTTCAAGCTAGCAAGCAAATGGAGGCCCCTCACCAGCCCCCCCAAAACCCCCCCAAACACAGAGAGACCTGTGAGTCCCTGCCTGGTTCTGACCTCAGTCGAAACTCCCCACCCCCGCCCACAAACATGACCCACCCAGCTCCAGCCCCAGGGCCAAGGAGCTAAGCCGGCAAAAAAAATCCACGAGGCCCCTCCGCCTGCCTGGCCCAGGCCTGGGGCTGGGAAGGGAGCTGGGCTGATTGACGGGGCAGGTGGTGGTGTTGCAGCCTCTGCCCCACAGCCCGGCACGGCCAGGGCTCAAGTGCCCCCTGAGCTGCCACAGGAGGTGCCTGTGCCCTGGGAACCTGGGGGCTGTCACCCCCAGGCAAAGGCGAAGGCCGCAGGAGGGCAGTTGCACAAGCCAGGAAGCAAAGGTTAGAGAAAAGCAAATTCAATAAGCCGGCTTTTGATCCGTTTTCCACGAAAAGGTCCCCTCCTGGTCCCCAGGCGGCCTCGTGGCCAGCAGGGAAGCCCGCCAAGCTGGCTTGCCCACACCCATCAGATCCCCGCCTGTCCCCCGACCTGCTACAGGTCCCCAGCCCCTGGCTCTCGGGGCCTTTCCCGTCTGCCCATTCTCCCTGGGCTCCCCTGCCTGCCCACCCCACCCTCCCAGACTCCAGGACCGCCTGACAGATGGTCCCCTACTTTGGGAAGAGGCACAGAGACAAAGGCCTAGGACCTTACCTGCAAGCCCCCCCACCTCTCTGGGCTGCGTTGGGCCCAGGCCTGAGCCATCTACCTCTCAAGGAAGGGTGACACCCAGAGGCTGGGGGCCCTGAAGGACCCGCATGCTGTCGGGGGGGAAGACCCTCCTCCCTGTGCCCTCCATGCCACCCCTCTGCCATAGGAGTGTTCCTCTTGGGGATTCTCAGTTCCACGTAGTTCTGAGATCATAGCATGGCACCTCCCAGCTGAGCAGGAGCTAAGAACAAATGGGGAAACTGAGGCCCAGGAGAGGAAGAGCAGGAGGGAAACAAGGCGTGCTCCTTGCCCTGGGGATAGACCGGGAGGTGTCTTGAGGGCCCTGAGACCTGAGTGTCCGCCTGGCCCAGCAGTGGCCACCTGGGGTCCTCTGGGCCCAGTTTCTCTCTGCTGTGCCCTCCTTGCAGGGTGGTGGTGCATGATGGCAGAGGCTGAGGAACGCCGCTCACATGTCAAGGGGCTGCCACCAGCTGGGGCTTATTGAGTTACAGGTGTACATCATCTGCTTCAGGACTGGCCTTTTGAGAAGGGAGGAAGCTATTAAGGTGGGCCGCTGGGGGATCTAAGATGCGGGGGTAGGGCTGGGGTGGTCCAAGCCCTCGGGGAACCCTGTCTGGCCCAGGCCCTTAAAGCTCCTCCGCCTGGGACTCCCCACCTCCTGCCGTGCAGCCTTCCATGGCTCGCTAGTCCCCAGCCGCTCACCCTTCTCAAGCGCTGGGGGCTTCTGCTCAACTCTTTCCCAGCTTGTTTGGAACGCTGGCAGCTGAGCCTCCCTCCCACTCTCTACCCTCCAGCTGCCACCCCCTGCCAGAGCTTCTCTCTGCCCAGAGTCCCAGCATCCAGACTGGAAGGGAGAAGGAGCCCCCCATCCCGTGCTGCCCCACCCAACACAGGCCAGCCCTGTAGCCTCCAAGGTGTGCTGGGAAGACCCCCGTAGGAATGTCTCCTCTGGGCCCAGAGCCAAACCAGTGCCAGGAGGAAGAAAATTTGCTTAGAAACTTAGGAAGTGTCTGCTGAAAGATGCACGTGGCTCAACTGTGTCTGACAAGCCCAGGAGGGGAAGTGAGCGGCCCCCACCCCGACAGCCCGGGACTCTGGGAGCTGGCCAGGCCTGGGCGTGGGCCTCCTTGGTAGAGCTGGAGGGGGGCGGTCAGGAGGGACCGTCCACTTTCCCATCCAGATTCTGGCAGGCTTGTCCTTGCTCAGCAACCTCCCATGGCTCCCCAGTACTGGAGGGGACGGTTATGTCTCTTCTCCTTGTACCGTCAGCCTCAGACCTGGGAGAGCGCCTCCCACAGCCGTCCCTGAGTCTATCTTTCTGGCTACTCCTGGATAGCTCCCCCGGGTCCCCTGTGAAGAGCACCCCTGCTGACCCTCGGGAGTCTGGCTCTGGCAGTGGGACCCCCAGCACACCCCTCACTGCTCCTGCCTGAAGCTGGGTCTCCTCCCCTCTCCCTCTCCCTCCCACCTCCTCAATGTCCCTGGAATCCCCCACCCAAGCCCCTGGGCTGCCCTCTGCCTGTCTCCGGCCCCTCTGTGCCTCAGTTCTTCATCTCCTCTCCCCAGCCCACTCCTATCCAGGGCCTCCGCCCAGCTTTGGAGTCCTCAGCCACCTCTCCCAAGCTCCTGGGCAGGGGCCACACCTGGCTCCCAGGCCCTTCCCAGAGCTGCCCGCTCCCCTCGGCTGCCTGGGACCTGTGGCCCCTCCGCCCCAGCTGCAGACCCCTTCCTCCCGCCCCCACCGCCCCCAGGGAGCCTCAGTCCCCAGCCTGTCTGGGGTGGGCCTGGCCCAAGGAGAGGGAGTGGGGAAGTGGAGAGGAGAAGGGAGAGCGGCCTAGGGAGGAGGACAGAGGCAAGAGGGGCTGCAAGGTCAGGGGACATTGTTCAGGGTGGGAGGTGAGTGGGGTCAGGCAGGGTGGCTCGTCTTTGAGAGACGGCTGGGGAGCCCCCGCTGAGCCCCCACTAAGCCGCTCAGCCCAGAGGATCCAGCCACAAAGGGACCGTCCCTTGAACCGGCTGAAATTTTGTTGTCTCCTGCGCCCCCGTGAGGTCAGTGGGCAGCATGACACCCATTTGGCCACTGAGGTGGGGCTCCTAGGGGGGGTGCAGGTGGGAAGCGACCCCAGCCCCCTCCCGCCACCCGCAAAGCTGGGCCCTTCCTACCAGCCATTGTCCCCGTATTCCCAGGTCCTGAGGAGGGGGTGGACCTTTCCAGATCTGATTTCATCTCCCAGGCAGCAGGGAGGGGCTGCCGAGCCCCTCACCCCTGCCTCCTTTCCCTTATAACACGTGGAGACCCTCATCCCAGATGATGGGGTCCTTCCAATCCTAGGCCCCCTGAGACCCGTCACTTGGTGGAGAGAGGCAGCAGCCATCTGGGCTCCAAAGGAAGCCCCAAGTCTGGGCTTGTGCTGAGCTCCCAGCCTGGTCACAGAGGCCTCTAACTCCAGCTGCAGCCTGGGAACCAACAGCTCCCAGCCCTGGCCCTGGCTCCCACACTTGCTACGGGTGTTGGGGGCCACAGGGTGCCACCCCTGGCCCAACTGGAGACAGAGCCTGGGGCCTCAGCCCTCAGCACAGGAGTCCCTAAGGCCAGAACCCCGGAGAGAAGGGGTCTCCAAGGCCCCCCAGGCTGCAGCACCCTATGCAATGAGCTGAGGCCCTCCCTTGGAGCCTGGGCAGCCAGACGCCTTCTGCCACTGACAGAAGCTGCTGGGAAGGAGTCCTGCCTAGTCACCCACCTCCCTGTAGCCTGGCCCGGCCCTGAGGCTCCCAGCACTCTGGGCCTCTGTCACAGGGACGCCCTAGGAGGGTTCCCAGCCTCCTGGCCTCCCATCTGCAGCTGGCTGTCAGGCCCAATGGGTCAGGAAGGCTTTATGAGCAACCTGAGGCCAGAGGCAAGCCTCACAGGACAGCAGATTGAAGTAGGGGCAGACAGGGACCAGGGCTGCTGGGCACTGTAGGCATCTGGTCTGGTGGAGGCACTGGCTACAGAGGCCATCCCCACCTCAGCCACCCACGGTGAGGGGTCGGACTGCAATGTGGCCCCTCACCAGCAAGGTGCCGTGAGGAACAGGAGGAGTCCCAATGGGGAGGTGTGGAAGGGGCCTTGTGGGCGAGGGGAGCACGGCGAAGCTACCCCACCTCCTGGCTGGAGTTGTACACCCCCCTTCTCCCCTAAGGGGTCTTCAGTTGCCCTTCAGAAAAGGAGGGGGTTCAATCGCCCTGTCACCAAGGACCCTTCTAGAGAAGCTGATGATGGGACGGTTCTAGTCAGGACGAGCCCCCAGGCCAGGCTGATGGGGGTTGGGATTCTGAGGGATGGAGTGTGCAGACCGCTTTGGTGGGGCTGGGGGCATATCCTGGAGCCTCCGCAGGGGTCCCCTGGGTCCCACCCTGAGCAGCTGGGCGTTGGAAGCCGCCTCCCCTTCCCAGAAGAGCAGCTCTCTGTCGGCATCCTCCCTCCCCCCGGGCTGAGCGGACAGGCTCCCATGGAACAGCCTCTGAGCGGAGAGAGCTGTGTCCTCAGATCTGCCGGGGCCAGGGCTGGGGCAGAGGAAGGGGCGTGCAGTGAGCCCAGCTGGGACAGCAAACAGGCCTCTGGGGTCTCTCCTTTCCCTTGCCTGCCCACTGCAGGGGGCTGGCCGGGGCCAGGGCCGGGGGAGACTTCCTCGATTTATCTCTGCAGCCAGCGGACAGCCTACAGCCTGGAATCTGGGGTTAGGCTGAGGTTTGCGTGTCCTGCTGTGAGCAGCTTGCAGCAGGACAGAAGGACTGGGCTTGGGGGTGGGGGGGGCACTGAGGGAATGCAGGCGGGATGGGGTGGGGGGCTGGGACAGAGAGGATGCTGGGATGCCTCTGAGCTGGCTGGGGACCCTGTTGCTTTGATGGGGCCTGAGTGTGTGTAGAACTCTGGTACAGGCCATGGCCATGTTCTCTGAGGAGCCAGGGGACTGAGGGCTGTAGGAAGTGTATTGGGGGGTGCCAGGCGATGTAGACACAGCCCCGCCTGCGGCAGAGGGTGGGAGCGGGTGCCGGAGCCTGTGCTTCAGCTGGAGGAGGAAGGCACAGACAGAAAGAAGAGGATTCAGCAGGGAAGGGCAGGGCCGGGTCCTGGAACACCAGGCCGGAGCCAGCTGGAGGGAGGCAGGAGCTGGGGGGCTTCCAGAGGCTTCAGGCAGGAAGGAAGGGAGGCCTGGGGAGCCACAGGCTGGCGAACAGAGACAGCACAGCTTCAGGACTGCCACCGAAGCAAGGCCCCAGACACAGGCGAGGGCCCCACCAGTGGCCCTGTAGACAGAGGCTCCCGGCCTGGTTGCAAAAGCACCACACGGCTTCCCTGTGTTTTCATGATACGACTGGCCTCTCCCCCTACAGCTGCCCCAAGATGAGAGGGGCCCTTCATGGCTGCCCATGCATTGCTGTCCCATAGAGGACCCTCCGCAGTCCCTCAGGAGACCCCTGCCCAGGTTCCCGTCATCAGGGAGCTGGAAGCCCAGCTGTGCCCCTCACCCACAAAATGAGAGGGGGGCTCCTGGAAGCCCAGCTGTGCCCCTCACCCACAAAACGAGAGGGGAGCACCTGGAAGCCCAGCTGTGCCACTCACCCACAAAATGAGAGAGGGGCTCCTGGAAGCCCAGCTGTGCCCCTCACCCACAAAACGAGAGGGGAGCGCCTGGAAGCCCAGCCGTGCCACTCACCCACAAAACGAGAGGGGGGGCTCTAGATCCCACAGTGAGGGTCACATGTCAGCACCTGGCCTTGGACAAGGAAGATGTTGCTGGCTCCGATGACCTGGCTTCCTGGAGAAGGCAGCGCCTGGTGGAGCTTTGACTTCAGGATAGGTGTGGAGGGGGCGCAGCCACAGACGAGTAAGGTAGCGGATCACAGACCGTCCGAGCAAGATGGACTCTCAGACTCACCAGGGTCGGTGTCGGCCACCCAGGCTCCAAGGCCAGAGCCTCACGAGTCCACGTGGCTCAGCACACACAGCACATGGCACTCCCCAGTGCCGCTCCAGCCCTGGCACCTCCTGAGGTCAACAGATTCCCCCGCTGACGCCAGCCTCCCTGCCCAGGCCACTGGGGCCATGCTGCCCCCACCTCATCACTGCAGCAGTGGCACCCGAGTGCCGTCCGGAGGACCTGCTGCCCGAGGGAGCACAGCTCTGGGCTTTTCTTTCCACCTTGCCGCCACTCAGAGAGGACAGTGCGTATGTGGAAAAACCCTCATGCTCTTTCCCACTTCAGGCCCCACGCCGGCACCAGGCTGTGAGCAGGGCAGGCCTCACTGCAAAGTGCTTGTGCACCCACTCGCCACCCCATCCTCTGCCCCATGAGGGCCCCAGGGCATGTGGAGCAAAGTCCCACACCACCCTGCTGGTGCTGCCCCCAGGGAGCCCACGGCATTGTCTGTGAAGGTGGTGGCTGGGCTTTCCACATAGAATCTTGCCCCCCATGGGCCTGGAGCAGGGTGCATCCTCAAGCCCGATGGGCCTCAGTTTTTCCCTGGGCCCTGGCGTGGTGGAAACCCTGATCACTGACCTCAGACGCGAGGAAATGCTTTGGACACATAGGGCTGCCCAAGACCCCAGCTATTCCCCGGCCTCACATGCGTGACACCCCCCGCTGAACTCGGGCGTGGCCCACCCTGGTCTGCTTGCTGTGGGCCGCAGCTGTCCTTCCCTCCTGCACCTTCTGGGGCCCTCTCAAACCTCCCTTTCCGAGGTGGTCCTGCTCTGTGGGACGTCTCTTGTGGGTGCAGGGCCCCTGATGGATGGGCTCTGTTCACAAGGGGAGAGGAGAGAGCACGGAGGTCTTCCTGGCACAGGTCCACGTACTTTGGCCAGGGAGGGTGGCGGTGGCTCCCTGGTGGGCCACACTTCCCCGTCCCATGTCCACCTGGGCCATCAGGCTATCAGGACAGCAGGCCACATCTTAGTCAGCAGAACCCCCAATGGGCAGAGGCTGTGGGCCCCCTTGAATCCCTGAGTGCCCCCTTGGGTGTCTCTTGGCCTGCTGGGGCTCCCTGATGGGCCTAGCCCCCCTGCCCAAGCTGTGGGCCTGAGCCCCTATTTCCCCGAGGCCTCACAGGCCTCCCGACCCGGCAGGCAGGCTCCGGGGAGCTCCGAGGCACCCAGGTCTAAGCCAGGCTGGGGTGGGTGCGGCTGCCCTGGGATCTGCTCATGGTTCCTACCAGCCCCCAAGGCCAGCCCGTGGCTCTGCCTGATAAACACACGTGTTGAGCCATGGTGGATGTGTGTGTGGGGCCACTCTGCCTCCCACTGCCATTGTCACTATTTCCTCTTCCTCTAATCCCAGCCGGGCTGCTCCAGCCCAGTGGGCCCAATCAGTCTGCAGGGTCCAGCAAGGGGGTGCAGGAAGAAGGGTCCCCTGCAGAGGTAATGTCTGAGGGTAGCACATTGAGGCACGGTATAGAGACCCTGCGCCCAGAGCCAGAGTTTGGGGTCCCAGGAAATTCATTTCTAGGCAGCCGAGGCTGAGTTTGGCACAGAGCGAGAGGCCTCTCTGCCTTCCCCAAAGCCCAACCTGTTGAGCCATTGAGGCCCCGTCCACGCCTCCCGGGCCTTCTCTTCCTGCAGAAGGTTCTGAGGGGTTTCTTAGAAAGAGCCATTAGAAAGAGGTGCAGGGCCTGCGAAATCCAAGCGGCTCTGCAGCAGGTCCAGCCCGCTTCCTCCCCGGCCTGCAGTGCCAAAGGGTCCCAGGGAGCCAAAGACGCAGGCAGCCAGCCTGCCCCAACGCCAGCCACACCGGGAGCTGGGAGCCTCCTTCCACTCTGGTGTGAGGGCACTGTCGGGGGGGCCCCGAGGCCCTGGTCCACCAGCAAGCCCGGAGGAGAAGGGCTTTGGGGCAGCCCTGCCATCAGCAGTTTACAACCCACGGCTCTGGGTCCCCACCTGGCCTTGTCAGCAGATGGGTCCTCCTTGGGACAGGCCACCAGGGACACTGGCTTTAGCCCTGGGAACCAAGACATGGGGCCTTTGACTGGGCAGCAGAGACCGGCATGGGACATATCCCAGGGCCAAAGGGGCCAGGAGGGCTTTCTAAGGGGGCAGGAGAAGGGCAAGACGACCCCAAAGTGTGCCGGGGAAGCCAGCCTACCCAAAGCCTCTCTTAGGTGCTGCGTGAGGGTTTCCTAGAACAGTGGGGTGGGCCGGGCAGGCAGAGGGGCAGGGATGGGCTGGGTAGACTGGGGGCAAGGACCAGTGATGTTGTGGTGGCTGAGGGGCCTCTCGCCTAAAGCCTCCTCCTTGTGGGGTTCCCTGGAGGTGGGCAGGCAGAGCGGCCATGGCAGGCAGGGCACATTGGAGGCGTTGGGCCATGCTCTGCTCTCAATACCATCTCCTGGGCCTTGGGCCTCAACGACCGGAACGATGTCACCCCCGTGACACAGAGGGGTCACAGCCAGAAGAGGCCCTGCATGTACCTCGCTGTGCGGGCACCCAGGAGCACAGGGAATGCTCCCTGGTGAGCACACAGGGCAGTGAAAGCTGAGCTGAGCCAAGTCGTTTTTGAGCTGAACCTCAACACGGGGGCTTGCTGCCCCCTCCAAACTCCCAACCCAGGGCCTGTGGGCACCAGGGTCTGGCTGCTGCCATTAATTCCAACAGCTGAGCTTCCCCCTGGGCTGGCAGGGCCTCCTTGGCACTCCCTGTGCCCCCCATGCCAGCCCTGCACGTACAAACCCCACTGCAAGCAACACCCCCACCTCAGCCACAAAGCAGCCCTGTTCGAAGGGGCCCTACTGGGCCTCAGGGTCAACAAGACTGAATTCAGAGGACTGAGAAGGCCCTGGCAGAGCCGCCTGGCTCCTGGGGAAGCCATTTATCACTCCCAGGTCCCGGCCCGCTGCCTGCTGTGTGGCTGCGGCCAGCAGGCCTCACAGCGCCCGCCCACCTATCTGCCAAGAGCCCCTTGGCCAGGGCTCCCTTCACCACCCTCAGCCAGCGCTTTCTGCTGGGCTGGCCTTCCTAGCTCCAGAAGGGTCCGCAGCCCCTCTGCTCAAACCAAAGCTTCCCAAACCCACCCACATTTCCCCCCAGCTGTCCACTTGCCCAGGGCCTGTGGGCCTCGGTCAAAGGCAAAGGGGTCCCACTTGAAGAAATCCGAGTAGACGATGAGCCATTTCACAGAAGGGTCCCCTGAGGCCACCTGGAGAGACCCCTGAAAAACCCCCTGGCCACCTGGGGAGCCCCCTGCCCACCTGGAGACCCCCCTGGCATCCTGGTCCATTGCAAATGAGCTTTTATTGACAGCTTTTCAGGAGTGGACGCAGGCAGGCATGGGTGTGGATGCCCTGTTGGGGCACAGGTGCAGACATAGTGGGCCATTTCAGCAGCCGCCTGGGGAGCCCCGGCCCCGACACCTTTGGGCAAGGCCTCTGCTTCCTGGTGCAGTGTCTGGGCACTGTGTGTTCCTGGACTTCTGGGGCTCAAGGGAGCTGGGGCGGCCCCAGGGGCCCTGCCTCTGACACTGAGGCCTTCAGGTGACATGCTGGGCTGAAACCTGTGCCGTCCTCCTCTCTTGCCTGCCCCTCCAGACCTGGCTGTCATCTGCTCGGGCAGGCCAAGGGGGCTGTGGCCTTGTGTCCCTCCCCTGCTGAAGGCCCAGGACCCTCCTCAATTCAAAGGTCAGTGTCCCTCAAAGCAGCAGGCTATGCCCCACCCAGCACCACCCCCCACAGCCCCACACCACAGCACTGGACAGGTGGGAGCTCTCTCCACCTGGGGCCTGGCACAGTGTGGAGTGGCAGGGGCTTCCAGGGGAGCCCTGGAAGGATCTGGAAATGGGTGAAGGTCAAATCCCAAAACTCCATGCTGCCCTGAAGGGGAGGGTGAGGCAAGAGGCCTGGCAGCCCCCAGGACGCCTACAGCTGCTAGCCACGTACACACCCTCCTCCGGGCACCGCCAGCGCTGTGGCCTGTGCCTGTCCGTGTGCTGGTCCTGCGCCCGGGGGCAGTGGTGTGAGGACTGAGACTGGAGGCCTGACTGCCTGAGACCCCTGACCCCTCCTTGCTGTGTTGAGCCAAATGTGAAGCTGGGTATCCAGCCAAGAGGCAGCCCTGGAGCCCAGACCTGGGCCCCGCTCCCCAAGGAGCACATACTCCCGGCTTGCCGTCCTGGCACAGCTCAATGACACACGCTTTCCAGGCCTGCCTGGTGTTTGCCCAGGGAGACTGCAAGCTCTCTGCAGGCAGAGCCCACTGTCCCTGGAGCACTGCTCCCAAGGGCTGGCCAGCACTCCCATCTGGCACCCAGCTCTGAGCGTCCAGGACCCTCCAAGCCCCCAATGCCCCCATCCAGGCTGAAGCTCACCCTTGAGCTCCAGGTTGGAGGGGAAGACTGTCGACCCCAGGTCAAAGGCCTGTGGTCAAACAGAACCCACCCGAGCCTACAGGATTTAGCCAGACTTTAGCTTTTCTGTGTTCGCCGGCCCCTGTCTCTCCCAGCCCCAACTCCAAGCAGGCAGAGCTGGTAGCCCACTAGCTCAGGGAGGTCTTCTGGTTTCTGTCCCCGCCTCACCAGGAGCAGACTGGGACAGCTCTGGGTCTTGACAGGGGCTCTGCCCCGAGGTGGGTGGGTAGTGCCAGCTTTGCTTTTGGGAGCTCAAGCCAGCCCGGGTAACCTGTCTCCTGAGGACCCGGGCACTCAGACACTGGTGCTGACCCCCAGCACCCTGGGGCTGGAGCAGCTTGGCAGCCTCTCCAAACCCTGCGCCCATTTCTTACTGTCCCAGGAAGAAAACAAGCCGGGCATGCGGTCAGCTCCTTGGGCGTTTTCAGCCCCGGGAAGCACTGACCAGGGTGTCTCCCCAGAGGACACAGAACCAGCCCCAGCAGTTTTCGGAAGCTCACCCTGGCAGTCCTGGGAAGCCAGCCGAGTGGGCTGGCTGAGAGGGCGGTCCGTGCCATGGGTGGGGGTTTGGGCTGAGTGAGCAACCTGGGGTCTTGCAGGCCAGGGAGTCAGCCCAGCAAACAGCCCTAAAGTGGGGCTCTTGGGGACAGAAGGACGTTCCCTTTGAGTGTTCCAGGTGGCTCCAGAGCTGGCTGGGTTGATTGGTGGAGCTCCCTCCTGCTCCATCTTACTCGCCCTGCTTGTGCCACAGCTCCCCCAGCCCCCTCCGTCTTCCCCACTCGCTCGCTCTCCAGGATGCAGTGGTGGGGGGGGGTCTAAGTATTCACGCTGAGGCTTGGAGCCCTCCTCGCCAGGTGACCTGCTGGAGAGAGAAACCCCCCACCAGGGCAGCACTGGTTCCCTTGGTCTCTCCTGGAGTGGAGGAGATGGCGCAGGGGCACGGGGCAGGGCAGAGGGAACACGGCTGACTGCCACTCATGCCTGCAGAGGCTCGGGGAGTGCCGTGTGTGCTGAGCCGCCTGCCACCCATTTGTGATGAAGACTGCCCCTCCCCACCGTCCCGAGCCAGCCTAAGGAGGGCCCAGCCTCCCTCTAAAACAGTCTGTAGCTCACTCTCATCCTGTGCCAGCCTGGCGGCCTTACTAGCTGGCAAGGGAGGAGGGACCTGATTTGTCCTCCAAGAGCTGCTGAGCCCAGCCCCAAAGCCAGGGCTTCACAATGGAGGCACCAGAGTGGCCTCTCGAAGGGTCTGGGGCCCCCGCGGTGTCGTCAGAGGGGGCTGAGGTTCCCTCCAACCCTGGGGCAGGGAGAAGCTGCAAAAGCAAAAGGGAATACCAGGGCCACCTGGCCCACCCTGCATGCCCCGGAGGAAGGGCCGTTTCCCCTACCCTCTCCTGGAACCAGGGTGTGGGGAGACGGTGACATGGGGGCCTCGAAACTGCCCGAGGGCCAGAACCCGTGAGCTCATGGGCAGAAAGGGGAGCTGGACGGGCCTGGGCTGGCCTCTCTGCTCCCTTCCTTGCTGCCCTTTCTGGGGTCTCCAAGTGCCTGGCTGGCGCCTGTCCGGGCCAGGCGTCTACATTCCCTTCCTCTTTGGGAAGAGGACAGGGAAACTGACGCCAGGCCCTGAAATAGCCACCGTCCTTCGGCCTGAGCGCCTGTGCAGACGGCTGTGCTGATTGGCCCCCCTTGGTGGGCACAGGTGGCCCTGCAGTGGACAGGCCCAAAAAAGGCCAGCAGCCTCCCTGGGCGCTCTTGTGCCCCACACGGCCGGTGCCTGAGAGCTGGGGATGAGGCTGGCAGTGATGTCTGCCCCTGCAGGGGGCGGCCCGGGCCAGGCTGGTATAGCAGCTGGGACTGCCATTCACAGCCAGTGGAGACCAGTGGGATGGGAGGGGCAGCTGAGCCAGCAGGACCGGCGAGGGCACCGCCTGGAGAGGACAGGCCTTGGTGCTGGCGTGGGCAGTGGCGAGATGTTGCCTAGTCCATGCTGCCCAGAGCTCCATCTCCCCGGCCAGTCCCCATCCGGCCCTGAGCCATGGGACGTGTGCTGGTGGCCCCTGCAAGCCCGGCCCCGGGCTGAGCCTGTGCATTCTCAGAGGGAGGAGCCCCAGGTGCCTGCTGCAGAGCTGTGGGCCCAGTGGGCAAGGGTGCAGCCCCGTCAGACCACATGCTTGGTGTCTGAGAACCCGTCCCTCACAGGCCTGAAAGCCAGAGGTCGGGGCAGAGGGTGAAGCCCGTGAGCCTGGCAGTGGACGGGCGGCGGACTGGCCGTGTGACGGCATCAAGCGGCAGCTGCCCCCGAGTTCCACTTGTGTCACCTCAGCAGCCTGGGCCCTCCACGGCGCCTGACTGCCTAGCTGTCTCTGTGGCCACACTCCCTGACTCTTTAGCAAAAGGAAGCTGAGCTCCAGGGCTGGAAGTAGGCGTGCCCTAAAGAGGCCCTCGAAGACACCTGGGCAGTCAGGGACCATGGCCCCCCTCGAAGCCAGGATGGCCCAGGATCACCCTGTGTGGGTCTCTGTGCAGCCCCCACCCCGGCCCTGCCTGTCTCTGTCCCCTGTCTCCCTCTGCCCAGGGTCTGTGGGCCTCGGTTTCTCAGCCAGTAGCCACAGCTGGGTGGGCTGGGCAGGGAGTTTGAGGTGCAGAGCAAGGCGGGTGGGCGGGGGGATGAGGAAAGCTGCAGCTCACGGAAAGAACAGGGCAGCGGGCAGCACGGCGGGGGCAGTGACCCGGCCACGTCTCACACGTGATGCTGCTCTCCCAGAGGCCTTGGCCTGGCGCACCTCCCTTGCTAAAGTTTCTCTTTCCACTGCTTCCTGCTTCCCAAGTTTGCTTTCCGGGGTCCAGGCAGACGGGTGGCCACGGAGCCCGCTCAGTGAGACTTGGTTTCTTCTGAGTTCCACTTCCTGGAAGCTTCTCGCCCAGGAGCTGCCAGTCCCCTGCCCCGGCTGCGCTCCCACCCTTTATGCTGCTGCCCACGGGGATGGCAGTTCAAAGGGCCTCGACTGTCCAGGCTGACAGTGAGTGGGGCCGGGAGCAGAGGCTTGGGCCCCAGCACCTGCTCATCTACCCATAGACCCCCAGGCAGGGGCATCAGGAAGAAATAAACACAAAGAAAGCAAGGCCCGGCCGTCAGGCAAACCCAGATCCCACTCTCAGCCTCAGTTTCTCCGTGTGTCAAATAAGGGAGTGGGACTGGCCCCTCCTGGCTGTAGCACTGGCTCTCGCTCCAGGATGCAGGCCTTCCTTCTCTTGTCCCCAGCCCCTGCTCAGGGCATTCTCCCCTTTGAAGCCCCCTCAAGCCTGGGGACCCAGTGCTCATTCACCAGTGACAGTGCAGAAACCTGCCCTCAGCCAGGTCTCTGTTCTCTGCCACTGGCCATCCCTCTGAGACCGAGAGCCCACACCCAAGGCTGGAGCTCAGCCACACCCTGTTCTCTTCCCACCAGCCCCTCCTGGACTGTCCCCCGGGGTGGGTACACAGTGGGCACTTGGCAGGGACTGTGCCATGAACATGGGCTGCCCCTCACTGCCCACCTGTGCTGAGCAGACATGCACTTGGTCCCTGGCTGTTGGACCCAGTGAGGTGGCAGTGGCAGCAGCAGTGCCCACCATTCACACCTGGCAGGGAGACCTTCCCAAGGCCACCTGCCAGCCGCACTCAGGGCCAGGGCACAGGCTGTGCTGCTGGCCCCTCAGCCCACGCTTCCCAGAATGGCCACCTGGTCAGGAGGGAGAGGTCAGGGGCTCCGTCAGCCAGTGTCCTCCCTTTTAGCATCTACCAGGGGATGGGAAGGTGGTCCTCAAGAAGCCAGGGGTCAGGGCATCGCTGTGGGCGGCGGGCACCCGGGGCTCCTCAGGGTTCTCCTGGCCCTCCACAGCCACTGTGGGGAGGAGGTGCCTGCGGCTGCTCTGGGGCTTCTCCTGGCCCTCCACAGCCGTCATGGGTCATGGGTTGAGGAGGTGCCTGAGGCTCCTCTGAGTTCCCCTGGCCCTCCACGGCCGTCATGGGTTGAGGGGTGCCTGAGGTTCCTCTGGGTTCCCCTGGCCCTCTATGGTCATCGTGGGTGAGGGGGTGCCCGAGGCTCTTCTAGGGGTTCTCCTGGATCTCCACGGCCATCGGGTTTTTTGTGCCCATCCAGGTGGCAAGAGCAAGTGGATGAGACACAGGGAGAGGGGTCAGGGTTGTGCCCACCCTCAGGCCATGGTCCATCCCTGGCTCGGGACCAGACAGGGGTGGAATTTGGGAAGATCAGGAGGCACACAGCACAGAGGGGGTTGGCCAGCATCCACAGCATCGCCTGTACCTGCTCAGGCCTAGACACTCGGCGATGGTCCACACAGAGGCTGGGAGGACTGAGCTCCCTGCGCAAAGGGAGCAGTCAGGGGCCTCCAGCCACCGAGCACACCTGTGCCCCAGGGAGCCCTGCCTGGTGACGGGGCTGGGCGTGGCTGGGATCCTGCACCTGCGCCTCTCAAATGCTCTGCTTCCCCCGGCCTGGATGTCAGCTGGAAAAGGTCTTTTTTCCCCTTTCTTCTGCAGGGGAACATGTGGCCATTACAATTACTGGTGCCATGCAGGACTTCAGCTCCAGGCCTCAGGACCACAGGCAGCTCCTGGAGTTGGACGAGGGTGAGGAGAGAGGGCACAGGAACGGGGGCCGGTGCCTGGGTATAAGAAGACCCTTGTGGGCAGGGAGAGGGAGAGGAGGGGTGAAAGAGGACAGAAGCCCCCGGTCTTGATAGCTGGCCTGCCAGAGTGTGGGCAGGTGGCCTCTCATCTGAGTTGAGCATCTTGGTGAGCCCCAACCCTCCCGCCTGGGGGTCTCTGCCCAACCTGGTCCCTGGCCAGTCAGCCAGCAAGCCCCTCTGCAGCCCTTTCCAGAGGCTGCTGTGAGTCCGTGCCCACCTGCAGTCTCCCGCAGGGCCCTGGGAGGGGAAGGGGGGTGCAGGCGGCCCCAGCACCCAGCCTCACAGACACTGTTCCTCGGGAGCCGTTTCTGGGGTGCAGCTCCGACTCACACCCCAGAGCACCTTGGAGGAAGGAGCAGCAGGCCCCAGGTAGGTGCCGGTGGGGGGGCCCGTCTGCTTTGTCGCATTGGCAACCCAGCCCTGGAGCTGGGGGTCGGGGGGTCGCTGCCTGGAAGGCACATAAAGAAAGATGGAGCCTGGAATTTTTCCCTTTGGAAAAAGAAAACTTGTTCTAAAAGGGGAAAGATTGATGCTCTTGCTTTCCCACACTTGGTTTGAAGCCAACGAGGTGGTTTCAGAAGAAATTTTCCTCTCCTCTATTAAATGTAACCAAACACGATCGACATTTGCAGATCACACGGGGACCTCCAGGCAGCAGAGCTTAGGAACCTTCCTGCCTTCTGCCTGGCCAGGCGAGAACAGACGCACCTCTCACCCCCTGGCCAGACAGCCGGGCAGGGGCTGTGGGCAGGAGGGAGGTGGGGGCTCCTCAGGGCCCCAATGTCAGGAGGTGTCCCAGACAAGAGTGGAGGTGGAGGCCTGCAGCCAGGGGCTGCCCACCATCCAGCTGGCCAGATGAGGCCCCAAAGGAGCCTAGGTGAGGATGGCAATGGCAATGGGGCCACAATGGGACAGGGGCCTTGGCATCCCACACCACACCTGCCTCTCTTGGAGGCCGTCAGGAAAGCTGAGAAGCCAGGGTGGCCAAGTGAGGTGCTGGTGGCCCCTGCAGAGTCCCCCGGCTACATCTCGGCCGTGGCCCTGGCCGGGCTGGCCCCTCCAAAGGTGGACTCTGATCCTACAGGGGCAGTCCAGCCTCCTCCACCACACACACGCACACACCCACAAACACACACACACCACATACAGACACCCGCACACACCAACCCACCTCCCCACACCTGTACACACACCCATCTCCCCAGACACACACATACACACCTCCCCACACCAACACACACACAACCTTCCCACACCTGCACACACACACCCACCTCCCTGCACCCACACACACACACCCATCTCCCCACACCCGCACACACCCATGCACATCACACACAGACACACGCACAATGCCCAAGCACACAGGGCCTCGCTGCCCTTCCAGACACCCAGCCCTTACAAGCCCAGGTTCCCAAGAAACAAAGGTTTAGAGTTTGCTGCTTCCCTGAACCTCCCTCTTCTCGAGCCTCTGAGCACTCCTGAGAGCTCCTCAGACAAACTGGAGGCGAGGGGAGCCCCAGACAGTGCAGGGAGAGCCACTTCACTCCACCCTGGAGGGAGGGGTGGGCAGCAGGGGTGTCCCCTCCCCAGGGCCCACGGAATCTGCAGGGGAGATGGGGGAACACTGGAAATTGTCCCCCATTTAGACACTTGCAGAGCCAATGCCCCAAGGTCCCATCTTCCCGCCAGCACAGCCCAGTAAGGAGCCATGACATTCAGAAGGCCCAGGGCCAGCGCAGCACGATGGGCCTGGACTTCTAGGCAGCTTCCATGCGGCCGGGGTGCCCTCCTGCATCCAGCTGGCTGCCTGGACACAGACCCCCAGGATGCTCCCATCCTCAGTGGTGGCCGGAAGGAAGGCAGCCGGGGTAGACAGGGCCTGCGGGAGGGCAGGACTCGGCAGGCAGCCTCGCCTGTGGCCCACGCTCAGAGGGGCCGGTTTCCAGCCTCCAGTTTGTTTCCTGGGCAGCCAGGTTGTGTGGGGGCCCGAGGGCAGCTACAGCCGGCAAGTCCACAGCCTCTGTGTCCTCAGCCAAGACTCCATTTGTCCTCGAGACCACCAGAGGCCCAACAGCAGCCTCCCACTGACCACTCGACTGCCGACCGCAGGCTTCATCCGGACACAGGCTGTCCTGCTGCCGGTGCATGCACAGGGCAGCCAGATCCACCGACGGAAATGCAGGGCACCTGTGAAGCCGTGAATTTCACATAAAGAACAGAGGCTTCCTCAGTATTTGTCTCCAACAGTGTCCCAAATATTACACGGCACACACTCACACTGAGAACAGTCATCGTTTACCTGCGATTCAGATTCAGCTGCCATCCTGCACTTTACCTGGTGACCCTAAACCACAGAGCAGAGTGACAGCTGCACAGGTCGCACCTCCCGCTCTGCTCCGAAGGCCCGTCTCAGCTCCGCACCGTCCAGCGTGGCCATCTCCAGCCGCCACAGCTGTTTACACTGCGATCATGAACACGGCATCAGCCACGTTCCAGGGCCTCTGGAGCCGCGTGCGGCTGGGTCTCCTGGCTGGACTGGGAAGACCCAGAACGCTCCCATCGCTGGAGGAAGCTTTGCTGGGCCCTGTGGGTTTGAGAAACTTCCTCTGGTTGCCTGGCCTGCACCGACCAGTGGGTCTGACTTCTCATGCCAGGCCTTTCAACTGGGAGCTACCCGTGCCCAGGGCCTGACTCACAACTGTGGCACAGGGGCATTCACCTACAAGCAGCTCTCGAGGACACGCCTGGCGGAGTGCCTCCATCCGTGTCCGGACGCCATCCTGCTCAGCCCTGGGCCCGACACGCTTGTCTCGCCTTTGCTGGGGGAACTTGGGGCAGCCAGGGGCCTGATGCGGTCCCATCACCAGCAGAGCGCTCAGCTCCCCTCCCTGCCCTCCTCCCAGTGCCTACCCCACAGTGGAGCTGCTGACCTAGCGCAGCCGGATGGTCCCCACCAGCCTCAGAGCCACAGGCCCTCACAGCTGAGTCCCAGCAAGGCGGGACTCAGCAGGGGCACAGCTTGCACCCAAGGGCTGGTCGGCAGAGCTCTCCAGGGCTGTCCAGCCGCTGCTCCCCAGGCCCCGTTCTCCCAGGTTCTCTCTCGCCACGGGGAGAGGAGGGGAGGCTGCTGGGCCTGCGTGCTCTCCCCTAGGAGTGGGCACTGGCCAGCTGCATCAGCGGAGTCACGATGAGGGTGCTGTTTGGGGGCCTCCCTGCCCACTCCCAAGTCAAGGGTCTGGTGTGTGCAGAGGGTGCCTACTGTGTGCAGAGTGCAGAGCCCAGGGGGAGGCCAGGCTGCTGCAAGAGCCCAGGTGTGAGGTGATGAGAGCCGGGTGTGGGGGTGGCGGCAGGAAGGAAAGAGGGGCTCAGAGCTGAGTTGGAGCACTGCCAGCGTGGGGGTGGCCCAGGCCCATTCCAGTCACCCCCAACTCAGAGCCGCCACCATGGCAGTGCTGAGCCCCCCTACCCCAGCTCTTCATCCAAATCTGACACCTCCATCCCCTAGGACACAGGCTGACCAGACTGACCATTAACCTGCGGGCCTGCACTGGGCACCAAACAGCAGGCAAAGGCCCAGCTGACCCCAGACCACTGCAGACCACCCCAGACCACCCCAAACCCCTCAGGCCACCCCAGACCACTGCAGACCACCCCAGACCACCCCACCCCACACCACACCACTGCAGACCACCCCAGACCCCTCTGGCCACCTCGGGCCATTGCAGACCACCCCAGACCTCCGCGGAGCACCCCAGACCACCGCAGACCCCTCAGGCGCAGGCCTGCCTTCAAGCCCAGGCCAAAGAAGGCTGAAGCAGGCCTGCACCGCCCGGCCGCGCCAGGTCTGTCCGATGTCCTCGCGCCTCCCACCCCCAGACTCTTCCAATTGCTTCTGGGCTTTCCTGAGGCTGGGAGCTGCCTCGGGCTGACTGAGCAGATGAAGGGTGTGACGTGGGTGCCCCAGACGCAGGAGCCAATGGTAACTGCAGCAAGACGGGCTGCGGGCAGAGTCCCGCACCCTCCCAGGAGACTCATGGGGAGCCCAGCCCCACCTGTGGCCCCGCCAGCTCCACCAGAGCTCTGCACCTGAGGTCTGCTCCAAGGAAGTTCAGTGGAGCAAAGAGGGCGTGTGAATGCAAACCCCACCGTGATCCCTGTCCTTGTTTAGACTCGTGCGGCCCGGCGGCTCCCCTCTCCGAGGGCCCAGGGAGGAGGCTCACTCAGGACAGGCGGCAGGTGGGAGGGGAGGCAGGGAGTGAGTCAGGTGGGCCCTGGGGGTGGGGATGGGAGTGAAGAGGGCAGTGAGAGATGCAAATTGCTGCTTGGACTAGGGTCTGGACCCCGTGGAGAGGCGGCGAACCCCTGAGGTCCCACTGAGAACTTTCCATGGTCAAAATCACTCTTGTGGGGCACTGGAGCCGGCGCTCACCCCACACCCTGAAATGGCCAATCCTCTCCCCTGCTGAGTTCAGCATTTCGGGTTGCTTGACAATCAGCCTGGGTGGGAATATTTACACCATGGTCACTGGAATATGCTCCAAAGCAAAGCATGTGTTTTCTCCCTGAGAGCCCATTGTTAAAGCATCCCAGCACACCCCTGCACTGGCAGTAAATTCCTTTAATTCCTTTTTTTTTTTTTTTTTTTGAGACGGAGTTTTGCTCTTGTTGCCCAGGCTGGAGTGCAGTGGCGCGATCTCCGCTCACTGCAACCTCCGCCTCCCGGGTTCCAGTGGTTCTCTTGCCTCAGCCTCCCGAGCAGCTAGCTCACATTACAGGCAGGCGCCACCACGCCCAGCTAATTTTTGTGCTTTTAGTATAGACGGAGTTTCTCTGTGTTGGTCAGGCTGGTCTCAAACTCCCGACCTCAGGTGATCCACCCACCTTGGCCTCCCAGAATTCTGGGATTACAGGCGTGCGCCACCGCACCTGGCTGTAAATTCCATTTTTACAGGATGACTCGGGATCAGGGCCATTCTATGAAAGGTGATGTCCCTGAAAGACAGAAATGGGCAATTCTTCCCAAGAGTTTTATTAAGGGGAAAATATTCCATTTTGTTTAAACAAGGACAAGAGATCTGACGTGCCAGGGGCCTTCTGCCCCTCCGCGGATGGTTCAGGAGACCAGGCACTCCGTGAAAGTCTCCTACGAGGCCTCCAGCCGCAGGCAGATCCCTACTACCGGTCACTGTCACTGCTCAAGGCGGTGCCCGCTGGCTTCCCTGGGTGGGACTAAGGAAAGCACATTCCACTGGGCAATATCTGAACAAAAGCATCTTCTTAATAGGAAATTCACCTTAAAAGGTGACAGGAGTCCTCCCGGGCCAGCTTCTGCGAGACAGAGCATGTAGAGGGAAGGGAAACACGTCTAATCCCCAAGCCTTCCTGTGGCCCTCAGCCCCGGGGCCTGGCACCCCCACCCTGCTCTGGCTTGGTGGTTTGTAGAGGGGTGGCACAGGGCCACGGCCATCTGCACCTGTGGAGCTGTGAGAGGAAGGGAAGGGGCACAGGCTTGGCCGCAGTCTTCCCCCAGCCCCGTTGTAATCTTTGAAAGGCTCTGTGAGACACCCAAGAGTCAGATGGGGAAACTGAGTCCCAGGGCTCAAGGGCATGCTACGTGGAGGGAAACGGCAAAAGAGCCACCGCCCAGCCTTGCTTATCCTCATAAGGTGGCAACACAAGCCACTGACGTCCCTAACAAAGTGCCACGTGCTGGAAGGTGTGTGTCTATGGGGGTGAGGACATGGGGTCAGAGGGAGCCTGGCCTTTTCTTGGAGTGCCCCTGTTCTCGCGTCTCCCCCAGCCTCCCCAGGTGCAGCCTCTGCTGGTCCTTCGGAGGGTCGTGCCTGTGGTGTCTGTGGTGTCTGTGGTATGTGGTGTGTGGTGTGTGGTGCCTGCCCCTCTGTCAGGGGTGGGGCCAGATGCTGCGTGTCCGGGACAGGCTCTCCCTCCCCCTGAACATGCCTGGCTGAGGGGCACCGCTGCAAATGTCATTATTACCAGGAGCCGTTTATATGGTGCACTTTGTCCACGCGCAGGGTTTACAGCCCCTTTTATTCCTCATAAAACGGGAAGGGAGCAAAGCCCAAGCGTGTGGGGGCCAGAGCCTGGCTGCACCCGCTGGAGAGCTGCGAGAGGTTGGCGCGATGCAGGCCCCTTTGCCACACCACCCTGGCAGGCCCTGATCCGAGGGGACCTGGGCGAAGGGGATGGACTGTGGCGGGGCCCCTCTGGAGGCCTGGGTGCAGGATGACCAGGGGTCCCAAAGAACCCGCTGTGCTTGGGTTTTCTAAAGCAGAGGTGAGGGGTGGCAGGGTCCCTCTGGGGGTCTCGGTGCAGGATGACCAGGACCCCCAAAGAGCCCGATGTCCTTGGGTTTTCTGGAGCCAAGGTAAGGGGGAGGTGTTGAGGGGCTGGGACAGTGAGTCTGGGCTGTGTCCCTGATGGGTCCCCTCTTCCAAGCCCCCTTCCCAGCACATGAATGTTCCACGCTGCCCAGGCCTGCCATCTCTCGGGTGCCTGCCCCCACGCCGCTGCGCCTCTCCTCCCCCACCTCCCCCTCCTTGCCCATCTCACCTCTCTCAGGTGTGTGACACCAGCCGTCTCTGAGCAGCCCCTCACCCCTTAGGCCTTCTGCACCCCCACTAGCCTGCACTCCAGATCCAAGTAGGGGCCGAATCCACCTCCAAGCCCCTCTCTTCAGCCCTGCTGGGAGCCCCTGATGCTTGGAACAGCCTCAGCTGCCGATTCAGAAATCAGCATCCTGTGCCCCTACTCTGCCTGAGGCGGGTGCAGCCTCCCCTCCCTGAGCCCTGGTCTGCCAGGCGAGGGGTGCTGGAGCAGGCAGGTCTGGGGCCAGGGGCAGCAAAACTGCCAGGGGCTCACCCTCCACCCTCGGAGCTTGGAATGGGAGGGCAGCCCTGGCCCAGACACCCTGGTGAGGACCCTGGCCTTGGCTCACCCTGCGGCTCCTTCACAGAGCTCCCCCGCCCAGGCTCCCCAGAATGGAGTCCAAACTTCTCTCCTATCTGGACTCTCTTGCTTCTTTGGATTCCGGTAGCTGTGAGGGGACTGGAGGTTGGGGGTTCCTGGGCAACCTCTCCTGAAGCACAGGAGGCAGGGGCTTCACCCAGGCGGCTGGCTGAGGTCTAGACACCCCAGGGGCAGCTGTGGCCCCTGGTATGGACTTCGGTTGCCTGGGGAGGCCAAGCCAGCGTGCTTCTGGGGGTCTGTGCTCAGTGCCCCCTGCGAATTAGCACTATCTCAAAGCAGGTGCCCCAGCACACTGAGGGAGCAAAGGAATGTCTCTAACACTGCTGGAGGGCGGGGGGTCCCTGCGAGAGCCCGGGGAGGGATGCACCAGCCCACGGCAGCCAGGGCACCCCCTACCACTCCCATGCCCCCGCCTGGCTCCCCTTCCCCCTCAGCCCTTCACCTGGTCCAGGAGAAGAGGGCAGGAGACACCCCCAGACCCCACGGGGGTATGGGCAGGGAAGGGAGGCGGCTCTCAGTGGAGACTGCCTTGTAACCCAAGAGGCAAGGAGAGAGGACTGCCCTCCCAGGAGCAGCAAACAGGCACTGGGTGGAACAGGGTGCCCAGGCCTAATCATCCACCATGGCACTGTCCAAAGATGCCCAGATCACTGAATGCACAGCATGCAGAAGGGCTGAATCGAGGGTCACGTGGCGGGGGCTGCTGGTGTGGGCCATGCTCCCCAAACCCCAGGCAGCACAGAGGTCACCAGGTCTCCAGGGCTGTCCCTCCAGGGCCGTCCCTCCAGGGCTGTCCCTCCAGGGCCTTTACAGATCCCGAGTCCTGACTCCTCACACACAGAGCGTGGGCCTGGGAGTAGGAGTCCAGGCACCCCGGGCCCAGGGCCCTGCATCTTCCCTCCCCAGCCAGACTCACAGCACCAGCCAGACTCACAGCACCAGCCCTTGGGCCACGGGGGCGGCAGGCCCAGCTTCAGAGGCGCAGTGGCTGTCCCGGCCTCTGGTCGGTCTCGCTAGGGGCCGCCTCTCCCCACAGACCAGGGCCTCCCTTTGGGTGGGTGCTGCCTCACAAGGGAGCCTCAGGTGGGGGTGGGTGCGGCCGAGTCTTTAGTGTCTGCCCAGAGGCACCCAGCAGGCAGCTGACCCCCTAGACCAAAGATTCCTGGAGGCCGAGGCGCTGCCTCCCCCACCACGTGGAAAGTTGGCCCTGATCAATTAGACTGTGCGCTAAATAAATCACTCGAGGGGCTTAGAGCTGTGTTTTTGCAGCGGCTGCAATAATAATATTAATAACAATGCCCCTCAGAAACCCGGCCAAGGCTGGAGTATTGGGTGGGGAGGGGCCAGGTGCAGGGGCCATGCTGGCGTCCCTGGGTCTCTCCCCAGCCCCCTGCCCACCCACCAGGGCCCCGCCACCCGATCCACAGCCTGGCCCTGTCTCCTGGCTCAGGGCGTCCCGGGCGTCTCCTACCTGGGGCCCTCTGGCCATGGCGGGGCCGTGCTGGGACCTGGAACCTACCCCACACCAGCACGCATGCAGGGGAGGCTGGGGAAGCCCGGAGGACCCCCAGAGATACCCTGACCAGGGTGGACAGGAAGAGGCTGCAGGGCAGGGGGCAGGGTTGAGAGCACGGGGAGAACAGAAGAGAAAAGGAGAGTGTGGAGAGAAAGAGGGGGTACAGGGTGGGTGGAGTAGGGGATGAGGGTCTGGGCGCAGGTTCGGCCCCTGACTTCTCCAGGACCCCTCCTCCCACCCGGCATGGAAACAGAGTGCCCATCTCATGGGGACCTGCCCTGGAGGTCCACACACTCTGTGTAACTGTGGGTGTCCCCAGTGGGCACTGGCCCGGCTCTGCTTCTGGGATGAGGTTGAGTGAGCACATGGGGGTCCCTGCAAGGTCCAGGGCCAAGGCAGAGACACAGAAGCAGAGGGAGATGGGTCTCCATCGTCGCCCAGGCCCCTTGAGAGACCTCCACCCCCGCCAGAGCCTGTGGACAGCTGAGCAGGAGCTGCCCCCGCATCCTGCAGTGGGAGCGGAGGGTCGGCCAGCACGGGCAACCGACAGGAGCCGGCCCGGCCCCTCCATCCTCCTTCGGTGCGGGGCTGAGGAGGCCTCTGTCTGGTCAGGCTGCTGGACACCCAAGGCTCGAGAGGAAGCCATGGCTTTGGAGGGTGGCATTAGCACGGAGGGGAGCCGGCGGCCCACGGGCATCGTGCACACCCAGCACAGCGGTGGCACCAAGCCTGCCCTGAGGGCTGGTTCTGGGATGGGCAGAAGTGGCTCCTGCGGAGTGGCAGGAGAGAAAGGCAGGTGTGCCCTCCCGGCTCAGGCCTCTCCGCACCTGAAGGTCCAGAGGGGAGGCAGCCCCCAGAAGGCTGCACGGGCGGGGCTTACAGACAGGGCTCCGGGACCAAGGTGTGGGCCTCAGGGACAGCAGACAGCAGGGAGGGAAGAGGGGGAAGACGGGGCTTCTGCTGAGGGAGATGGCCCCTCGCTGGACGAAGGGCAGTTCTAGGGGGCCTCACTCCCGCCTGAGCCTGGAGATCCCAGCCCTGCGGGAGGGGCATTGCCCAGACCCACCCCTCGGCAGTCGCTGACGCTCTGGGAGAGGGTGCCCTGGCTGTGGTTTGGGGAGGCATGTTAAAACATCAAAGACTTTTGAGTTCAAAGATGTCAGAGGGCAGAGGTCGCGGGCCCCGGCTGCCCTCTGTTTAACCTCAGACCCAAAAGGGAAAAGGGAACCGAAGGGGGAGCGGCTCTGTCCCTGGCCCCATCCCCGGCCCCTCTCTCGCCTCTGATCCTTCTTCCTGGCTCTCTGCAGACAGCGAGAGTGAGAGGGCCCCAGTGTGGCTTCAGCCTCCGCACAGGCCCTCTCTCCCCTCCCCTTTTTTTGCAAAAGCAATGGAAAACAAACACGCTCCCCTGCCCCCCCCAACTCCCCACCTCCCATCCCCAAAATCAACCCAAGAACTCCGCCAGCCTGCTCAGCGCAGCGGGAAAACCGGAGTGGTTGCCTGCGACCCAGAGCGCCACGCGAAAAATAAATTCCTTGTTTTATGATGGGAGGGGAAGGTGGGGGAGGAGAAGGAGACAGAGAGAGAGAAAAATAATTTTTATTATTTTCTGTTATCATTTTCCTAGGGCTGTTTTGCCTGGGTACCACAGTCAGCTGTAGCCCAAGGCCCACCCCTGGGCCTAGGGCAGAGAAGGGCTGGAAGAGGTGGAGGAGGAGGAGGAGGAGGAGGAGGAGGAGGAGGAGGAGGCGAGGAGTGTAATTGAAGCTGGCTGTTGGCCCAACCACCAACTTAAAACAATAAAGCCAGAGGAAGTCCTGCAGGACAGAGAAACAGGGCGAGGGGGTGGGTGGCCAGGGGGCAGGATGGAGAGGCCAGGGTCGCGCTTGGGACCCAGCTTTCCTTGTAGGGAGGAGGCCCCGTGTCCCAGAGGGCACAGGGAGCTGAGGGCTTTGGATAACAGAGAGCAGGGGCGGTCAGTGGCATGGGTGGGGGTTTGGGCTTAGTAAGCAACCTGGGGGCTTGCAGGCCAGGGAGTCAGCCCAGGAAACGGCCCTAAAGTGGGGCTCCTGGGAACAGAGGGACGTACTCTTCGGGTGCCCCGGGTAGCTCCAGAACTGGCTGGGTTGGTTGGTCCAGGGGTCCCATGGCCTGGGCCTCCTTCCCTGGTACTAGGGCCATGAATGCTGATGGGTGGGGATGGAGGGGGCCCTTCTAAAGAGGACTGGCTCCCACGGGCCCTCAGGCCAGAGTGCACTGCCCGCCTTCCAGGCCACCCTTGCAGGGCTGGGAGGCCCAGAAGGAGGGCAGCAGCCCTCTCCCCAGCCTGCCACCCACCACGCCAGAGGCCCTCAAGAGGATGGGTCCATGCCAGATCCCCTGCCCACGCCGGACCCCAGAGCCGCGCCTGTGTTGGGCAGGGCGGGTGCTGCAGCACCTTCTGCGGGGCTGCACAGCTGGAGCCAGTGGAGTTCGTGGCCAGACCCCAAGGCAGTCCTTCCCGGAGCATCCAGGTGCACAGGACAGGAACCTGACTCCCTGTGTGGGCAGGAGCTTCACGCATCCTGGAAGCCCAGGGCCCCGGCCACCCCATCCCCATCAGCCCACAGGCGCCTTCCCAGGCAGGGCTGGGCTTCCAATCCCATCAGGGAGACTCTGGCCAAGCTAATGCTTCCCAGGCCAGGCTCCCCAGGGGACAAAGCGGGCAGGGCTCATGCCCAGCTGCTCACGCCCAGGTCCCCAGCCTGTTCTCCGTGTGCCGCTCCCCTCCCGGGCCTTAGGGTCCTTGTTCCCACGACAGAGGGCCTGGCCCCTCTGAGGACCTCGGGCTCTGGAGACAGCACCTGTTCATGCCCAGCTAGAGCCACAGCAGGGCGACTTGGTGAAGGGTCCCCAGGGCATCCAGCACCCAAGAGCAGGGAGGGGCCTGAGAGGCTGAGGGGCAATCTTGATTACCCCCAAAGCGAGGCACAGTGGGACTCCCTATGGAGGTCAGGGGTGCCCATGGAGAGACCAGTCCTGGGAAAAGGGGCATTTTCAACTGGCTGACAAGGAGGGGTGGGAGGCTGGAGGAAACAGGCCAGGCAGGCCAGAGGTGGTGGGAAACGGAGCGGGAGGTGACGAGTTCAGTCTTCTTGGACTGCTGTCAGAAAGTACCACAGCGTGAGAGAGAGAGTCCGAGGTCAAGGTGCCGCGGGGCGGGTTCCTCCTGAGGCCTCTTTCCTGGGCTTGCAGACCCCGCCATCTCCCTGTGTCCTCACGTGGCTGTTGCCCTGTCAGCGTCTGTGCTCTGATCTCCGCTTATAGAAACACCAGTTGGATGGGCTCAGGGTCATCCTAATGATTCCATCTTAACTTGGTACCTCCTTAAAGATCCACCTCTAGACAGGCCCATTCTGAGGTTGTGGGGTCAGGACTTCCGTGCCTGGGCAGAGACACAGTGCAGCCCTTAGCAGTTCGTGCTCCCAGAAGCCTCACCGTGGGGCCAGGAGAAGGCCAGGCAGGCACAGGTGAAGGGAACACCAACCATCTGCAGGTTGCTGGGAAGAAGGGCAGGAGGGGAGAAGGGCCCGGGGAGCGTGGCTCTGGGCAGCCAGGCCACCTGTCCCATGGGTCCTGGAAACAGCAGCCCAGAGCCCAAGTGTACCAGGCCACGAGGCCACGGAGGGAGAATGTGGGTGAGGGCGCGGGTGGCCGCCAAGAGTGAGGTCCAGAAACACACAGGGGGCCCAGGGTCCTGGCTGGGAAGGCAGAGGCAGCCTCCCCTCGGCCAGCAACGGTGCAGATGCAGTCGGGCTGAGCGGTTGGAAGCCACAGCGTGGGAAATGGCCCAGCCAGAGCCGGATGTGAGAGGGGACCCAGGAGAGGCTGCACGTGCAGAGACGTGGCCCATCCACCCGGATCCTGCGGGCCTCGGAGGATCCAGACCCCTGACTCACAGTCACGCCACAGGCCAGGTGGGGACCCGCCCGGGGAAGAGACAGGAACTGGGGAGCTGCCTCCAGGTTTCCGAGCGCGCACGGACAAACGGGTTCCCGGCGGCCGGCTCCGGGCTTCAGGTCTCCCTGCCTCCCCTAATTGTCCCCGCATGAGGCACAGAGGAGGGAAGTGAGTTAACGCAGAAGTTTCCTCCAAGAAAACTCATCAGAAAAGCCCAGATGGAAAAATCCGCCTCCATGGAGCCCTTGGAATTGGAAGTGATTTCTTTCTGGAAATATGTACCCTGAGGGGTGAGGGAAAGGACAGGGCCTGCATGTTCGTCAAGACGGAGACTGTTGGCTCCACACACCGTGAGCCCCTCCCCAGGGCCACCTCAACCCCTTCCGTCACCCCCTCTCACATCCCCTCAAGGGGAGGGTCCTGCCGGCCAGTCCGGGTCAAGGTCCACGGTCCAAGGTGGGGACGCAGCCTCTGCCTGTGAACGAGCTCCTCCCCAGACCAGCAGGGCCACAAAGTCTGGGACCTTCCACCCTCAGGGTCCTCCCCATAGCCGCCCTCCCTCTGCCAGACCAGCAGGGCCACACAGGCCGGGACCTTCCTCCCACAGCCACCCTCCCTCTACCAGCCTGCACCTGCCACACCCCATCTCCATGGAGGGAAGTCTCCCTGAGTTTAATCTGAGTGCACGCTGTGTTTGCCTGCAGCACGCAGCATTGGAAAGCACTAAAGTGTGGCTCTGCCCCCACCCCTATTTATGGACAGAGACACTAGGGTTGGGAGCGAGGAAATGATTTGTCCCCAGGGCAGCACGTGTGTCAGGACAGGGCAGGCGCTCCTGTGTGGAGAGGTGTCCCCCTTCCCTCCTGCCCCCCGTGTGGTCCTCCCTCACTGTACTCACCCCAAGATGGCGGGGTGCAGCCGACATGCGTGCATCTCTGCACAGTCACCATTCTGGGAGGGTGGTCTGAGTATGGTGTGGGCAGGGTCTCCTCCAGGCGACTGGGGACCCAGGCTCCTGCAGCCTTGTGGCTCGGCACTCCTGAAGCTGCTGGGGGTAGAGGGAGGAGAACGTAGAGGATCCTTCTGGAGACTGTTACGGACCAAATCTGAGAACAATGCAATCACTTCCGCTCCCAGTGAGTGGGCCGGGCTCCATGCACAGGGCCGGAGGACACGTGCAGAGAGAGTGGTCCTCACTGGCCCTCACTGGTCCCGGCGGCAGCACCCACCTCCCACCTCCAAGCCCTTGTCCTCGTCTCTCTGCCAGCCCTGCTCCTGTCTCCGTGATGATGGCCTTTTCAGGCGGGGCTGGCCCCACTCGGGGCTCATGAACGCTCTCGGCCCATCGCTGGGTGCCCCTATGTGCTGGGCTCCGAGTTCCGGGACAGGGCCCAGGTCTGCTGCTGGGGATAGAAGAGGTCCAAAGAAGACAGTCTCCGTGCTCAGGGAGCTTCTGGGCTGGGTGGGAAAAAGGGCTCCACCGGGAGCAGTTGGGTGCCAAGCGCAGCTGCTCCCCAGAGCCTGGCGAGCAGGAGGCAACCCCACCACAGGGGGCCATGTTGACCCAGTCCCTGAGACTCTGAGTGCAGCCTTGGTGGCCAGCCTGAACCATGTGCAGTGGATGCTGGGCAGAAAGGGACCTAGTGGTAAAGACCAGATGGGCAGCCCGGCACAGACAGCAGGAAGGGCCACAGAGACAAATGCCCCATTTCCTGGCCAGCCCCACGCGGGAAGGTGCACATGGGGAGGGAGGGAGGCAGGAGAGGCAGCCGCACGGCCCAGCCGCGGGTGACTGTGGACCTTGCCCCGGCCTTTCCAGCCCCAAACCCCCCAATGTGCAGCCTCAGCCTTCAGGAATGTCCTGTCCATGGCTCAAGCTGCCAAGGGGAATGGACAGGGCCCAGGAGCGGGGGCCCAGGCAGGTGGCCGGCGGCTCTGACACTTTCCTGGCCGAGGTCTGCGTCCCCCGCGGACGTTGCTGGGGCGGTGTGGTGGGCTCCAGCGTCTGGGGGTGTGGGATAGTTTCCAGGCCCCAGCCCATCTGCTCAGGCCCCACTTGGAGGGCCTGTGTTGTTGAGATGTCTGAAATATTTGTTTTCTAAAGGATTAGCTTCCAGATGATTCTGGAAGGGGCCAGGAACGATTGGCGTGGAGGGAGGAAGGAGGCCCTCGCTCCCTCTTGAATCTGGACCAGGAAGGCGTCCTCTGTGCCTTGAAAAGCCCAGGCCACGTCCTCCTTTCTCTAAGCCTTAGTCAGTCCACTTGCTCATCTACTGATCCTTTCATTTATCCAACAAATATCCCTCGAGCTCCTGCTATGAACCAGACCCACGGTCAAGGGCTTAAAACCCCACCTGGTCAGATAGCCCTTTCTCACCAAGCAGGGAGCAAGGGGCTCTCCTCCGCAGGGCATGTCCTGCCCAAGCCCCTGCCCTGGCCTTCACGAAGCCACTCCGACATGTACACCCCTCCCACGTGGTGCCTGTTCTCTGGGACCGCACTGTGAGCCCCAGACAAAGTCTGGGCCATTTGTCCCCTCTGTCCACATCCCTCTACTCACGACCCCTAGGAGCCTGGCGAGGAAGAGGAGGGCCAGCCACCTTTCCTACCGAGAGACTTCTCCAGCCTTCCTGGCTCAGATCCCACTGGCATTGGCGTGCTGAGATTCCAGATAGTGGCCACTCCTGTGGGTGGAGGATGGGGGTCCTGGGGAAGAAGATGGCCCGGACCAGCCTGGCTGGGGCCTGTCCACGAGTGGGAGAAAGAGGACCTGAAGACAGCATGGCTTGTCTTTGAGGGGGGAGGGTCTGGCTCTGGGAGGCTGTGAGTGTTTTGGGAGAGACGAGAAGGCAGCCCTGGAGAGGGTGTCCTGGGGCCACCTTGCTGATGTCAGCGTGAGCCTAAGGAAGCAGGGGCAGGAAAGTGGGGATACAGGAGGACTTCAGAGTCAGGAGGAGGAGAAGTCCCCTGAAGAGAGTCTCTAAGAACTGTTAGCACAGACAACGAGAGAGAGAGAGAGAGAGATCCCAAAGAGAAGACCAGCAGAAAACAAGGCTGGAAGGGACAGAGGCCCAGGGACACTGCGTTCCCAGCTTGGAAGCAGCAACTGTGTCCAGCCCAACAGACACCTCACAAACCAGTGGGGTCCTTGAGTGAGAACACAGGGCTCGTGGCAGAAGGTGACAGTCTTCACCCCAAAAGGAAGAGCTGGATCCACAGGCCCTGGATGGCCGGCAGCAGGGGCACCAGGCCGAGATGTGCTGGTGGGGGAGGCCGGCAGAGACCGGGTGGGGAGGAGGGCTGTAGGGTCAGCAGAGGCTGGGGAGAGGGCTGCGGGGTCGACAGCAGAGAGGCCAGGAGCCAGCTGTGTGTTGCCAAGATGGCAAGTCACCAACACCATGCATGACATCCTCAATGTGACTGACAGCCAGGACCGGCCCCATTAAAACTCCAGGCCTCCAAAGACAGGCCAAGGCCCTCAGACACACCCAGAGGTCCAGGGGCACAGGCAGGCACAGGCTGGGTGTCAGCGGGCACAGGATGAGCCAGAGCTGCTCCGCAGGGACCCCCCAGAGCCTCCCATGTGTGTATTCTGGGGCCCACCATGGCAGGCTGCCTCAATCCTGCCCCTTTCCAACTCTGAACTCTGAGCAGCTAAGAGCTCGCCAGGCTGCACCACACCGTGAGCTCAGGCCAGAGGGGAAACCCCACAGCAGGCCCAGCCCACACCATGCACAACGTCCTCAACGTGGGTGACAGCCAGGACCAGCCTCACTAAAACTCCACACCTGGATTTCCCCAGGACTGTCTCTCTTCTACCTGCCCTGGAGGTGAGTCCCAACCCCGTCTCCTTTCCCTCAGCCAGCCGGTGAGGAGTTGCGTGAACGCCGGCTTCCCTGATATTTTGTGGCTGATTCCCAGGGGAACTCCCTGGTGCAGAAAAGTGAGGCTCAGAGAAGTGGAGGGGCTCGGGCTTCTCACCAGTCCTTGCTGGATGAGCAACTACTCCCAAGCCAGTGACTTAAAAGAGCCGTGACGTGAGCTCTCACAGCTCTGCAAGCCAGGATTCGGGGCAGAGCTTAGCTGGGTACATCTTCTGCCCGTGGGTGACCGGCCAGGCTCCGCCATGCGGCTGCCATCCACCAGAAGCTGGGCTCAGCCGGTCGGTCCAAGTAGCCTTGCCCTCCGAATCTGGCACTCTGGTGCCCTTTCTAGGAACTCTCTCCACACGGCTAGCTTGGGCTTCCTCACAGCATGGCATTCTCATGACAGTGAGAGCCGTACGTGGCTTTTCATGGGGAAAAAAAACTAAGGCTTCTTAACGGTCAGCTTTGAAGTCCCAGAGCAACATCCCACTGCATTTTATTGGTCAAAATGCACCCAGATTTCAGGGGAGGGGAAATAGATCCATCCTCCTGGCATGAACAGAGGTGAAGCTTCCTTGCAAAGGGAGCACGGAGTGGGGAAAAGACTGTTACCGCGTCCCTGTAAGTGGCATGCACGGGTGCCGCAGAGGCAGCTGCGGCTGGGTCAGTGCACCGACGTCAAGGAAATGGCAGCAGACAGAGTCATGGGTCAAACCGTCAGCCTCGTGACATCTCGCTCCATTCCTTCTTGGGCTGAACATCTTATTTTGCTCCATTTTGTGATCCCTGAGATGAAGTGGCTCTGTCAGGATTCAATCAGAGAAGCACCACCTCCTCACGGTCAAAGGGCAGGGGCTTTGTTGGAAGGGATCGGACCTTCTGCCAAGATGGAGCTCCAGGCTGTCTGTGAGACGCTACTGCCCGGCTCTGGGGCTGGGCCTGAAGCCAGCAGGACAGGTGGTCAGGAAAGAAGATGGGCAAGAAGTGGGAAGGGGCAAGGGCCACCTGGACTTCACGAGGCCACACGTGAACCCACGTGGACAGTCCAGTGCCCTACATCTGTCTCTTACCACTTTATGCTGCACTGAATAATGTTCCCTGGAAATTCATGTCCACCCAGGACCTGTGAGTGTCCCCGGAAATTCATGTCCACCCAGGACCTGTGAGTGTCCCCGGAAATTCATGTCCACCCAGGACCTGTGAGTGGGGTCTTCTGTGGACAAGGGCTTTTGTGGGTGCAACCAAATAAAGACAAAGTCACACTGAATTGAGGCGGGGGGAAGCATCCATTCAATGAGTGTCGTCCTTGTAACAAGAGGGAAATTTGCACACAGAGACAGACACACAGTGGAGGAGGCCGTGTGAAGACAGAGGCAGAGACTGGAGCAACGCAGCCACACACCACAGGACACCTGGAGCCCCCAGAAGCCAGAAGGGGCAAGGAGGGGCCACGCTAGGGCCTTGCGAAAGAGGGCGGCCCTGCCCTCCCCTGGGTGGTGAACCTCTGGGCTCCAGAGCTGTGAGAGAGTCCATTCCTATGGCTAAAGCCACCCAGTCTGTGATCACTGTCACAGCAGCCCCAGGAATCAAACCCCTCCAATCCCAAAACACAGGGGACATCCGGAGGAGCAAGCACCCCTCACCAGGGGGCCACAGACACCCATGGCCCAGGACCCAGAGGAGCTGCAGGCTTAGGGCCCAGGGCCAGCAGGCTGAGCCAGGGACGGTGACACCAGGCATGCGCAGCAGCAGCACCCAGGCAGCACCCCAGCAGATGCCAATGTGGTGGCCGCTTCCACCCACTGGTCACGTTGCAGCCGGGTGAGTCTGCCAGGGCTGCCGCAACAAACCGCCATGGACCGGGAGGCTTAAATGAGGGAAATATATCCTCTCCCAGTCCTGGAGGCTGGAGTCCAAGATCAGGGCTGCTGCAGAGCTGGGTCCTCCAAGGCCTCTCTCCTTGGCTTATAGATCCTGCCTTCTCCACATGTCCTCACGGGGTCATCCCTCCGTGTGTGTCTGTGTCCTCCTCTCCTCTTCCTATAAGGACACAGTCCTATGAGACTGTGCTCACCCCTGCTCACATCAGGAGAACGGTCCTGTGTCTCCTCTCGGGACCTCATCTTCATGCCTCCCCCTTGGTTACCCCACGGTCAGGACTCAGCCACCAGCGTGAGCCCACACACCGGCTCTGGAGTGGTGGGCACAGGTGAGAGGGAGGTACAGCTGCCACAGCCAGGAAACCCCAGGACGATCCTGAATGGGCCCAGAGCTGGCTTTTCTCTGTCACGGAGAGAGACATGAGAGGGTCATGAGTGTGAAGATCGCCAGCTCCCAGGGTCAGGGCCCAGCCTCCTTCCATCTCACTGCTCTGGACTCCTCAGTTCCTCATGGAGTCTGTTTAGTGCCTCTCCAGAAAAGACAAGTTGAAGCCCTGACCACCAGCATCTCAGAGCACGAACTCATTTGGAAATAGGGTCATTATAGACGCAATCGATCAGGTCAGACTGCAGTAGGGCAGGCCCTGAATCAAACATCATGGTGTCCTCACAGGTAGAGGAGAGGCACGAGAGAGCAACGCTGCGTGAAGGCGCAGGATGAGAGCATCCTGGAAGATGGGCACGGCTGGGGTGACAGGTCTGGGAGCCTGGGAACACTGGGAAAGTCGGCCAGCACTGGAGCCTCCCTTAGAGCTCGAAGAAGGAGCCAGCCCTGACCACCCCGACTCTGACCTTCTAGCATCGAAACAGGGAGAGACGCATTCCACGTGGTTGTTCCAATCAGCCCAGTTTCTGGGGCTTCCTTATGGCAGCCTCAGGGAACTGGCAAAGCCCAAGTGGGCTATCCCATTACTTATATCTGGGTAGGTCCCAGCCACAGGGGAGAGAGAAGAGAAAGCCCCTCTATCTAATGACACGCTGTACTCATGTCCCACCCGCATGATGTGCCGTACCCGTGTCCCTATCCAGGTGACGTGCCGTACCCGTGTCCCACCCGGGTGACGTGCCGTACCCGTGTCCCACCCGGGTGACGTGCCGTACCCGTGTCCCACCCGGGTGACGTGCCGTACCCGTGTCCCACCCGGGTGACGTGCCGTACCCGTGTCCCACCCGGGTGACGTGCCGTACCCGTGTCCCACCCGGGTGACGTGCCGTACCCGTGTCCCACCCGGGTGACGTGCCGTACCCGTGTCCCTATCCAGGTGACGTGCCGTACCCGTGTCCCACCCAGGTGATGTGCTATGCCCATGTCCCACCCAGGTGACACGCTATACCTGTGTCCCTATCCAGGTGACACGCTGTGCCATGTCCCTATCCGGGTGACACTGTGCCATATCCCTATCCAGGTGACACACAGTGCTCATGTGTCTATCTAGATGACAGCACCGTGCCCACATCTTTATCCCGGTGACAGCACTGTGCCCACGTCCTGTCTTGGTGACATCACTGTGGTTATATACCTGTCCATGTGACATCACTGTGCCCACATCTGCCTCCAGGTGACAGCGCTGTGCCCACATCCCCACCCAAGTGCTCTGGGCACCTTGGCTGGGGCTCTGGCCACTTTCATGTTGGTGCCACCCTGTGTGTGGATCATAGCACCCAGGCACTCACCATTACCGTGGCCAGCACAGACCAGACCCGACCCCAGTAGTCCTCAAAACTAGGTCCCCTGCTGGGTGCGGTGGCTCACGCCTGTAATCCCAGCACTTTGGGAGGCTGAGGCGGGCGGATCACAAGATGAGGAGATCGAGACCAACCTGGCTAACACGGTGAAACCCCATCTCTACTAAAAATACAAAAAATTAGCCGGGTGAGGTGGTGGGCGCCTGTAGTCCCACCTACTTGGGAGGCTGAGGCAGGAGAATGGTGTGAACCCGGGAGGCGGAGCCTGCAGTGAGCCGAGATCATGCCACTGCACTCCAGCCTAGGGGACAGAGCGAGACTCAAAAAACAAAAAAACAAACAAAAAAAAACTAGGTCCCCTGTGCTGTGCTGCTGTACCCCAGCAGTCGCTTCACTGGCAAGACTACTCTTAGCAGGTGCGCCTGGAAGCAGAAACTGGGCAGCTCCCGGTCTGTCCTATACACATGCAAATGCCCCATTAGAAAGCAAATAGCCCGAGGTGTTTGCCTGCTCCCAGGCAAAATCTCCCAAATCTTCCTCCGGGAATCAGTGAACAGAAGAGATGTCCATCACCCCCAGGAGAGTAGTGTCTGAACCCGTCTAACCGCCCAACAGGTTCTCCCTGCCGCCGGTCTGGACAGAGCTGCTTTATCACAACAGGTGACTTGCAATAAAGTTTAATTCACACAGAGTCGGCCGTGCAGGAGACCAGAGTTTTATTATTACTCAAATCAGTCTCCCAGGAAATTTGGGGATCAAAGTTTTTAAGGATCATTTGGTGGGTAGGGGGCGAGTCAATAGGGAGTGCTGATTGGTTGGGTCAGAGATGAAATCATGGAGAGTCAAAGCCATCTTTTTCTGCTGAGTCAGTTCCTGGGTGGGGGCCACAAGACTAGATGAGCCAGTTTATCAATCTGGGGGGTGCCAGCTGATCCACCCAGTACAGGGTCTGCGAAATATCTCAACCACTGATCTTAGGTTCTGCAACAGTGATGTAATCCTAGGAGCAATTTGAGGAGGTTAAAAATCTTTCAGCCTCCAGATGTGTGACTCCATGACTCCTAAACCATAATTTCTAATCTGTGGCTAATTTGTTAGTCCTGAAAGTCTAGTCCCCAGGCAGGAAGAGGGTCTGTCCTGGGAAAGGGCTGTTATTGTCTTTGTTTCAAAGATAAACTATAAACTAAGTTCTTCCCAAAGTTAGTCCAGCCTGCACCCAGAAATGAATAAGAAGGCAAGACAGAGTTGGTTACGTCAGATCTCTTTCATTGTCATAATTTTCTGTTATATATTTTTTTTTTTTTGAGACAGAGTTTCGCTCTTATCATCCAGGCTGGAGTCCAATGGCTCGATCTTGGCTCACTGCAACCTCCACCTCCGGAGTTCCAGTGATTCTCCTGCCTCAGCCTCCCAAGTAGCTGGGATTACAGGCGCCCACCACCATGCCCAGCTAATTTTTGTATTTTTAGTAGAGATGGGATTTCGTCAGGTTGGCCAGGTTGGTCTTGAACTCCTGACCTCAGGTGATCCACCCACCTCGGCCTCCCAAACTGCTGGGATTACAGGCATGAGCCACCACCGCCGGCCGATTTTCTGTAATAATTTTTGCAGAGGCGGTTTCACCAGGAGAACCAAGCATTAATGCGCTGTGGCTGATGTGTAGTAGAGCGGCATTTCCCAATGGGAGAACCCTGGGGCTGTCTAGGAGCCCATGCATGGCTGGGAGCCTAATCCCAGGGACACCACCGATGACAGCTCCCATAGCACGTAGGACAGTGGATACTTGGAGGCAAAGAGAAATCTCTGTTCTGCAGTGGTCATGACTTGGACCCCAAAGAACTTGAGCCCAAGGTCCAGAGGGAGACCCTCCCAACAGGGCCTCCAGCAGGAACAGGGATCGTGGGAGCCTGCCAAGCACAGCGCACAGGTATTTCTGGAGGCTTCCCATTCAGTCTTGGATGCCAGCCTCACCGAGGGCGGCCCATCTTGCTGACCTCACCAAGGGAGGCCCGTCTCACTGCCCTGATGGCGCAGAATCGGCTGTACGTGTGGAATCAGAAGTGGCCGCGCGGCGGCAGTGCAGGCTCACACATCACAGCCCGAGCACGCCTGGCTGGGGTTCACCCACAGAAACGTCCCAGGTCTCCCAGGCCAGGTGCCGCATTGGTTCCCGAGGGTTGTCAGAGATAGACACTCATGCGACTAACATCGGGCTATGTGTTTGATTCACCCCAGGGTGCATTGTTGAAGGTTGGGGAGATTGGAGGAGATGCTTGGGGGACAATGAGGTGTCCCAGTTCCTTGGATGATAGGGATCTCGGCCTAAGCGTGAGACCCCTCCTACAGGGTCTCTGGCAGGCACAGAGCCTGGGGGCTCTTGCATAGCACATGTGTATTTCTGGAGGCTTCCCCTTCGGTCTCACCGCCCCGATGGTGCAGAATCGGTTGTAGTTGTGGAATCGGAAGTGGCCGCGCGGCGGCAGTGCAGGCTCCCACATCACAGCTCAAGCCCGCCCCAGCTGAGGTTCACCCGCGGAAACGTCCCGGGTCACGCAAGCTAGGTGCCGCAAGGTTCACGGGGGTAGTGAGGGATAGAACACTCATGGGAGCCACATTGGGCTACGTGTCTGATTCACCCCAGGGTGCACTATTGAGGGTTGGGGAGATGAGATACTTTGGTGACAATGAGGTGTCCCCATTCTTTGGATGATGGGGATCTCGGCCTCAGCGTGAGGCCCCTCCCACAGGGTCTCTGGCAGGCACAGAAACTGGGGGCTCTTGCGTAGCACATGGGTATTTGTGGACGCTTCCCCTTCTGTCTCACCACCCGGATGGCACAGAATCGGTTGTAAGTGTGGACTCAAAAGTGGCCGCGCGGCGGCAGTGCAGGCTCACACATCACAGCCCAAGCCCTCCCTGGATGGGGTTCGCCCGCGGAAACGTCCTGGGTCACCCAAGCCAGGTGCCGCAGGGTTCTCGGAGGTCTTCTGGGAATAGGACGCTCATGGGAGCCACACCACGTCTTCGTATCGGGCCATATCCACGGCCGCGTGGCCCCAGGTCACACTCTGAGGGCTTCAGTGTCATGGCCTGGGACTCAAGTCACGCCTACCCGCGTGATGAGCACAGCAAATTCCGCCAAAAGCTTATACTTTCCACATCCATCCCAGAGCACAGATCCGACTAAGGACAGCCCCCAAATCCCGAGCCTTTTTCTGAACTGACAATTGCCTCCCCAGTGAACACTCTGAGCTTGTCAATCTTAAGTGGCCAGACATTAACATTCCCATTCAGTGCAGGTTTGAGATGCTAATTTAGGAGCTTGAGATGCTAAAGAGCTGGGAGTGCCACTGCTGCTTTATTCTGGGGTCTAGGATCCTTGTGTTGGCTGAGATAATCTGCTAATGTGGGTGCAGCAGACATCCCGCGGTTTGTGGAATCGATAAAGGATGGGGATCAATGGTGTTTGTGCACTGTGCGGTCTGTGCCCAATTGCCTGCCTTGTGCTGTGGAATCTGTACATCTGGCCAACATGTGCTTGTGTGAGCCTGACAGTGCATTTTCCAGAGCCTCACCTCGGCTCTGCCCTGGAGGCTCTGTGCTGCTGGAATCAGACTCAAGGACCTCATCAGAGGACCATGGCCCCGTATCACCTGGGTCAGGCACTGAAGCTGGGACAGGAGAGCAGAGACTTCCAAAATGAGGGATCCCTGTGTTCTGAGGTGATCATGACTGGGACCCAAGGACTCAAGCGCATGCTCCAGAGGGAATCGTTTCCCACAAGGCCTTTGGCAGGAACAGGGATCCTGGGAGCCTGCCAAGCAGAGCGCACAGTGTTCCTGGAGTCTCGCTGCCCAGATGCCACGGAATCAGTTGAAGGTATGGAAACACAGGTGGCCACGTGGTAGCAGGGCAGGCTCAGGCGTCATAGCCCGAGCCCGGCTACCTGTGGTTTGCCTGCAGAAACATCCCGGGTCAACAGGCCAGGCACCGCATTGGTTCGCGAGGGTCATCGGGGGTAGGACCCTTGTACGAGCCACATCGGGCTACGTGCCTGATTCACCCCAGGGTGCACTGTTGAAGGTTGGGGAGATGAGAGGAGATACTTGGGGGACAGTGAAGTGTCCCCATTCTTTGGATGATGGGGATCTCGGCCTCAGCGTGAGACCCCTCCCACAGGGTCTCTGGCAGGCTCAAGAGCCCAGGGGCTCTTGCATAGCACATGAATATTTCTGGAGGCTTCCCCTTCAGTCTCACCACCCGGATGGTGCAGAATTGGTTGTAGCTGTGGAATCGGAAGTGGCCGCGTGGCGGCAGTGCAGGCTCACACATCACAGCCCGAGCCCGCCCCAGCTGGGGTTCGCCCGCGGAAACGTCCCGGGTCCCGCAAGCCAGGCGCCGCAGGGTTCACGGGGGTCATCAGGGATAGGACATTCATGGGAGCCACATCGGGCTATGTGTCTGATTCACCCCAGGGTGCACTATTGAGGGTTGGGGAGATGAGAGGAGATACTTGGGGGACAATGAAGTGTCCCCATTCTTTGGATGATGGGGATCTTGGCCTCAGGGTGAGATCCTTCTTGCAGGGTCTCTGGCAGGCACAGAGCCCGGGGGCTCTTGCATAGCACATGTGTATTTCTGGAGGCTTCCCCTTCAGTCTCACCGCCCGGATGGCACAGAATTGGTTGTAGTTGTGGAATCGGAGGTGGCTGCGCGGCGGCAGTGCAGGCTCACACATCACAGCCTGAGCCCGCCCCAGCTGGGGTTCGCCCGTGGAAACATCCCAGGTCATCCAAGCCGGGCGCCACAGGGTTCACAGGGGTCGTGAGGTATAGGACACTCATGGGAGCCATATCGGGCTACGTGTCTGATTCACCCCAGGGTGCACTGTTGAAGGTTGGGGAGATGGGAGGAGATACTAGGGGAACAATGAGGTGTCCCAGTTCCATGGATGATGGGGATCTCGGCCCTAGTGTGAAACCCTTCTCGCAGGGTCTCTGGCAGGCACAGAGCCCGGGGGCTCTTGCATAGCACATGGGTATTTCTGGAGGCTTCTCCTTCGGTCTCACCGCCTGGATGGCACGGAATTGGTTGTAGTTGTGGAATCGGAAGTGGCCGCGCGGCGGCAGTGCAGGCTCACACATCACAGCCCGAGCCCGCCCCAACTGGGGTTCGCCCGTGGAAACGTCCCGGGTCACCCAAGCCACGCGTCGCAGGGTTCACGGGGGTCATCTGGGAATAGGACACTCATGGGAGCCGCACCAGATCTTCAGGTCGGGCATTATCCACAGCCCCGTGGCCCCGGGTCACACTCCGAGGGCTTCAGTGTCATGGCCTGGGACTCAAGTCACGCCTACTTATGTGATGATCACAGTGTGTTCCACCAAAATCTTACATTTTCCACATCTATCCCAGAGCACAGCTCCGACTCCGTCTAAGGACAGCCCCCAAATCCCCAGCCTTTTACTGAACTGACAATTGCCTCCCCAGTGAACACTCTGATCTCCTCAGCCCTAAGTGGCCAGACATTAACATTCTCATTCAATGCAGGTTTGAGGTGCTAATTCAGGAGCTTAAGATGCTAAAGAGCTGGGAGCGCCACTGCTGCTTTATTCTCTGGTCCAGGATCCTTGTGTTGCTGGAGATAATCCATTATCGTGGGTGCAGCAGACACCCTGCGGCTTGTGGACTCGGTACGGGGTGGGGATCCTGATGGGGTTAGGATGTTCGATGGCTCGGGTGTGCTCCACGCTCAGGGATCATCACGTCCGGCCGGCGGTAGTTGGCACGTGGAGAGGTGAATTTGCCCACAGGTGTTCCCCGTGCCTGCGCATTGCTGGCAGCACGACCGGATCCTGTGCTAGCCCCTCCCACAATGCCTGGAGCAGGAGCGAGGGGCCTGGGGAGCCGCCTTGCCTGGAGCATTTGTATTTCCGGAGTATTTCCTGAGTCTCCCCTTGGGTCTTGGGTGCTGTCCCCAGTGAGCCCATCTCCCAGCGATGGCACAGAATCGGTTGTGGCTGTGGAGACGGAAATGGCCGAGAGGCGGCAGTGGTGACTCACATCACAGTCTGAAGGTGACCCAAGGCTGGACTCCACTTTTAGCAAAATGTGGGGGTCTGCCTTGGTCTCCTAACTTGGGGGTCCACTCATGGAAAAGCCTGAGAATTTTCATGCCATGGAAATTCCCCCATGTCGTGGGGTTCACGCACGACAAAGCCCGGCGGTCAGTGCTCAGCAGGCAAGCACTCAGCCCTTTCCGGTGGGGCCATGGGAACAGAGGGTTTGCCGAAGGCGCGGCCAGCCCTTCCACATCCCAGAGGGCCTGCTGGGTGATTGGACCCGTGAACTCTGGGTCCCTTGGCCCTGGTGCTCCCCTTCACGGCTTTGACACTCGAGACTTGAGGTGAACCCCAGGGACTGCAGGGCCCCAACAACCCTCACCAAAGGCCAAGGTGGTGACCGACGGACCCACAGCGGGGTGGCTGGGGGAGTCGAAACTCGCCAGTCTCCACTCCACTCCCAACCGTGGTGCCCCACGCGGGCCTGGGAGAGTCTGTGAGGCCGCCCACCGCTTGTCAGTAGAGTGCGCCCGCGAGCCGTAAGCACAGCCCGGCAACATGCGGTCTTCAGACAGGAAAGTGGCCGCGAATGGGACCGGGGTGCCCAGCGGCTGTGGGGACTCTGTCCTGCGGAAACCGCGGTGACCAGCACAAGCTCGGTCAACTGGATGGGAATCGGCCTGGGGGGCTGGCACCGCGCCCACCAGGGGGTTTGCGGCACTTCCCTCTGCCCCTCAGCACCCCACCCCTACTCTCCAGGAACGTGAGGTCTGAGCCGTGATGGTGGCAGGAAGGGGCCCTCTGTGCCATCCGAGTCCCCAGGGACCCGCAGCTGGCCCCCAGCCATGTGCAAAGTATGTGCAGGGCGCTGGCAGGCAGGGAGCAGCAGGCATGGTGTCCCCTGAGGGGAGACAGTGGTCTGGGAGGGAGAAGTCCTGGACCCTGAGGGAGGTGATGGGGCAATGCTCAGCCCTGTCTCCGGATGCCAAAGGAGGGGTGCGGGGAGGCCGTCTTTGGAGAATTCCAGGATGGGTGCTGGGTGAGAGAGACGTGTGCTGGAACTGTCCAGGGCGGAGGTGGGCCCTGCGGGGGCCCTCGGGAGGGCCCTGCTCTGATTGGCCGGCAGGGCAGGGGCGGGAATTCTGGGCGGGGCCACCCCAGTTAGAAAAAGCCCGGGCTAGGACCGAGGAGCAGGGTGAGGGAGGGGGTGGGATGGGTGGGGGGTAACGGGGGAAACTGGGGAAGTGGGGAACCGAGGGGCAACCAGGGGAAGATGGGGTGCTGGAGGAGAGCTTGTGGGAGCCAAGGAGCACCTTGGACATCTGGAGTCTGGCAGGAGTGATGACGGGTGGAGGGGCTAGCTCGAGGCAGGGCTGGTGGGGCCTGAGGCCAGTGAGGAGTGTGGAGTAGGCGCCCAGGCATCGTGCAGACAGGGCGACATCAGCTGGGGACGATGGGCCTGAGCTAGGGCTGGAAAGAAGGGGGAGCCAGGCATTCATCCCGGTCACTTTTGGTTACAGGACGTGGCAGCTGGTTGGACGAGGGGAGCTGGTGGGCAGGGTTTGATCCCAGGGCCTGGGCAACGGAGGTGTAGCTGGCAGCAGCGGGCAGGTGAGGACCCCATCTGCCGGGCAGGTGAGTCCCTTCCCTCCCCAGGCCTCGCTTCCCCAGCCTTCTGAAAGAAGGAGGTTTAGGGGATCGAGGGCTGGCGGGGAGAAGCAGACACCCTCCCAGCAGAGGGGCAGGATGGGGGCAGGAGAGTTAGCAAAGGTGACATCTTCTCGGGGGGAGCCGAGACTGCGCAAGGCTGGGGGGTTATGGGCCCGTTCCAGGCAGAAAGAGCAAGAGGGCAGGGAGGGAGCACAGGGGTGGCCAGCGTAGGGTCCAGCACGTGGGGTGGTACCCCAGGCCTGGGTCAGACAGGGACATGGCAGGGGACACAGGACAGAGGGGTCCCCAGCTGCCACCTCACCCACCGCAATTCATTTAGTAGCAGGCACAGGGGCAGCTCCGGCACGGCTTTCTCAGGCCTATGCCGGAGCCTCGAGGGCTGGAGAGCGGGAAGACAGGCAGTGCTCGGGGAGTTGCAGCAGGACGTCACCAGGAGGGCGAAGCGGCCACGGGAGGGGGGCCCCGGGACATTGCGCAGCAAGGAGGCTGCAGGGGCTCGGCCTGCGGGCGCCGGTCCCACGAGGCACTGCGGCCCAGGGTCTGGTGCGGAGAGGGCCCACAGTGGACTTGGTGACGCTGTATGCCCTCACCGCTCAGCCCCTGGGGCTGGCTTGGCAGACAGTACAGCATCCAGGGGAGTCAAGGGCATGGGGCGAGACCAGACTAGGCGAGGCGGGCGGGGCGGAGTGAATGAGCTCTCAGGAGGGAGGATGGTGCAGGCAGGGGTGAGGAGCGCAGCGGGCGGCGAGCGGGAGGCACTGGCCTCCAGAGCCCGTGGCCAAGGCGGGCCTCGCGGGCGGCGACGGAGCCGGGATCGGTGCCTCAGCGTTCGGGCTGGAGACGAGGGTGAGTTTTTCCCCCTCTGCCACCCTCAGCCCCCACCCGCCCCTCCCCACACAACCAACACGTTCTCCCCACACGACTCTCTCGTTCTCCCCACAGCCAGGTCTCCAGCTGGGGTGGACGTGCCCACCAGCTGCCGAAGGCCAAGACGCCAGGTCCGGTGGACGTGACAAGCAGGACATGACATGGTCCGGTGTGACGGCGAGGACAGAGGAGGCGCGTCCGGCCTTCCTGGTGAGCGTGTCTGCCCTCCCTGCGTCAGGACGCGGCCCTGCCCAGACCGCCCCGCCGGGCCACCATCTCACTGCCCCGACCTCTGTCTTCTACAGAACACCTTAGGCTGGTGGGGCTGCGGCAAGAAGCGGGTCTGTTTCTTTACTTCCTCCACGGAGTCGGCACACTATGGCTGCCCTCTGGGCTCCCAGAACCCACAACATGAAAGGTGAGGGGCTTCCTGCCACACTTGGGGTGGGGGGCACGCGAGAGGAGCTGAGTGGGACCTCACTCCTTCCCCATCCACAGAAATGGTGCTACCCAGCTCAAGCCTGGGCCTTTGAATCCGGACACAAAACCCTCTAGCTTGGAAATGAATATGCTGCACTTTACAACCACTGCACTACCTGACTCAGGAATCGGCTCTGGAAGGTGAGCACCAGCGCTCCTTCCGGAAGCCTCCAGGCCCCCGAGCACCCTGCCCCCATCCCACCCACGTGTCGCTATCTCTAGGTGAAGCTAGAGGAACCAGACCTCATCAGCCCAACATCAAAGACACCATCGGAACAGCAGCGCCCGCAGCACCCACCCCGCACCGGCGACTCCATCTTCATGGCCACCCCCTGCGGCGGACGGTTGACCACCAGCCACCACATCATCCCAGAGCTGAGCTCCTCCAGCGGGATGACGCCGTCCCCACCACCTCCCTCTTCTTCTTTTTCATCCTTCTGTCTCTTTGTTTCTGAGCTTTCCTGTCTTTCCTTTTTTCTGAGAGATTCAAAGCCTCCACGACTCTGTTTCCCCCGTCCCTTCTGAATTTAATTTGCACTAAGTCATTTGCACTGGTTGGAGTTGTGGAGACGGCCTTGAGTCTCAGTACGAGTGTGCGTGAGTGTGAGCCACCTTGGCAAGTGCCTGTGCAGGGCCCGGCCGCCCTCCATCTGGGCCGGGTGACTGGGCGCCGGCTGTGTGCCCGAGGCCTCACCCTGCCCTCGCCTAGTCTGGAAGCTCCGACCGACATCACGGAGCAGCCTTCAAGCATTCCATTACGCCCCATCTCGCTCTGTGCCCCTCCCCACCAGGGCTTCAGCAGGAGCCCTGGACTCATCATCAATAAACACTGTTACAGCAATTTGTCTCGAGGACTCTGGAATCCGGGCTGTGGGCATGATGTGGGGGAGGCCAGCCTTGGGCAGAGGGGGGCTGGGGGGCATGGGGAGGAGTACATGAAAAGGGGGATGGGGGTTCCAGGGTGGGGGATTCTGGGATGGGTGCAGCGCAGCACACACCAGGGGTGGGGTGAGCACAGGGTGTGTGGACCTCAGGGGTGCAGGGCAGGCGGTCAGCATGCAGTGATGGCAGTGGAGGGGCTGTGGGACCAGGGGCTTCACAGACTGGGCGGGGGCTGGGCTTGCGGAGGGGGCCTGCGCTCTGAGGCAGGGGTCGGGGACCACCAAACCATCCCCGAGCGAGTGCCTCCTGTCGCCCCAAAGTCCCATCAGAATGACGCCTTGGTGCTGGCCCCAGACCCCTGAAGCCCGGGCTAGGTGACTGGGGTAGAGCTGGCCATGGCCGCTCTGGGAGGCCCACAAGGTGCTCTGGGCGACCCCACCCCGACAGGGGCACGAACCCCGCGCCAGTCCCGTTCCTGCTCCCCTTTTGCTGTGGGTGGGAGCCGGGGCCACGCCGGAGGGACGGCCCCGCACAAGGAGCCAGGGGGTTGTGGGGGAGCCGGTGGGCTTCTCAGTGGGCAGGTGGCCTTGGGGCAGAGGTCCTAAGGAGGCCAGGGGACCAGGAGGAGGGAGGAAGAAGTTGAGGGTGGCCACAGGGAGGAGGTGAGGAGGAGCGGGAGGGCCCAGGGTGAGGGGCTCCCGGGCTCCCTCCCCGGGGTCTTGCTGCTGGAGCTCCAAGAACCCCGGTATGCAGGGGTTCGCTCCCCAGGTGCCAAGGCAGCCCACTCATGGGTTCCGGGTCAGCTTCCCCGCAGAGGCCAGTGGCCGGCAGCTCCCTCAGCCAGGCCTCCCAGCTCCCGGCCCCTCGCTGTGCAGGCGCTGGGAACACAAGGGGCAGCCCCTGGAAATAAGGGTGGGGTCCCGGCCTCCCCATTCCTTCCCCCCTCCCCCCTGCCTTCCACCCCCATTCCCAGTGCACAGAGCTGTCAGGAAAATTCCTCCCCGACTGACAAAGAACAGACAGGAAGGCGGTTAGGGACGCCCCTCCCCTACCGGCCCAGCCGCCCTTGGGGTCTTGGTGTCCAGGGCGGAAGAGCAGGGTGGTTCCCCACGTCCCTTGGGTCTGGCCTCCCCTCTGCACCCTCTCTTGCCCCCTCCCCATCCAGCTGTGGGCCCTGGGGACTGTCAGAGACCGAGGGGTTTCCAGGGACACACTTGTGTGCTAAAACCTGGGCGGGTGGTCACCCCCCAGGATGCATGTAGACATCCGGTGAGGGAGTCTCTTGAAGTCTCTGGGATGGTGCCCCTGGGACTGGCTGCCATCTCATGGAGGAGGTCAGAGGTCGCTGGGGCCAGCCCAGGGTGAGGCCGCATTCATCTTCCTGACCCTACAGGCCAATTTGACTTACCCAAGTGGGTTTTGGCCGGCAGGATGAAGTAACCCATCCATTACATGTCAAGAGTTAGGTCTATAAACGGCCTTTATTATAAACATCCAACTCTGCAGGAGGTTTACAAAGCAGGGCTCAGGAGATAAAAGCCGGCTTCCCCAGGTGGCGGCTGCAGGGTGCGGCAGGCAGCCCCAGGGGTGCCCAGGGTGGCGGGGCAGGGGAACCGTAGGGAGGGGGAGAGGGGCACCCAGAAAACCTCTCCTGGAGAACATGGAAGACTCTGCCCACTTCAAATCCCTGCCTGGGGAAGGACACATGGGAATGGGGCCGGGGGAAAAGGCGGGCCACCTCGGGCCTTCGTCACCTGTGTCAGCTCCTAGGGATTGTCTCCTCCTGGTCACTTGGAGAGAACAGGCGTGCTGGACACGTCCACATCTCTGGGCCCGGGGTGTATGAATGACACGCTTGCTCTGGAGTTTCCACCTGGGAGCTGTATGGGGACAGGGCTGTTCCTCCTCACACCCGCTGGGGAAGGGACACAGGCCTCTTGGTGGCCCCCACCATCTCCCAGCACTGCCCATGGCTGTGCCCACGCTGGCTGCCCCCTGAGAGCAGGACGTGTACTCAGGGGCAGCGCCTACCTCTGGGCAGCCCAGGTTTCTCTGCTCCCTGCAGCGGAACGGGCTTCCTAGGGCAGTTCCTGGGGTGGTGTCCCTAGGGCAGCCCCTGAGTGCTGGAGGGGGTCTGGGCCACAGGCCCTGAAACAGGGAGGTGGTGGGGGCAGCGTTCAGGGGGCTGAACCTCAGGGTGAGGCGGGCAGGCGGGGAGCCACAGGCCCGGGGGCCCCGCAGCAGGTGCTCAGCCTCGGAGCCTCCTGCCGCACCCCGGGGCGGGGGCTGGGAGCCCGCCCGAGCCCCTAGCTCTGAGCGACCTGCCAGGTTGGAATGTGTGTTTATCTTTGGCCCAACCCGATTTCCTGCTTTTTAGAAAAGGGGCTTAGAGAGGGTTGTTAGACAGGCTCCAGGCACCCCAACACCCAAAGGCACTTTGAAAACGCCCCTGCACTGACTTCAGTGCGGAGAAGCAAACGGGCTGGAATTTCACTCCCAAACCCCAACATGGGGGTGGCGGGGCCGGGGTGAGGGTTGTGGCTGCCTGCAAAGGTGCCAGGAAATCTGGGGAGGGAGGAACTTCCACCGTTCAGGGAGACCCTGAGGGTGCCCTGGCTTCTGGCCACGTCCCAGACCCTGTTAGGCACCGAGGTCTTCACACCCAGACCCTCCACCCACCCAAGTTTCTGCGGCACGTTTAGGTTGAGTGAAGACCAAGTCATCCAGTTAGAGAAGAGGACTTGAGGCGCGTGCTGCTGCTGTGGCCACGCTGGACCCTCGGTGCACGCATCTCCTGGCGAGTCCCCTGTGGCTCTGTGGGCCGTACACACCCGGGGCACGCGACCTCAGCTACCTTGTCACCGAGGACGTGCATCCACAGCTGTGCGTCTGTGCCTGGGAGCGGGGTCTCCACTTGGTGGGTCTCTGCATGCTGACCAGTTAACCCGCCTTTCCGGGCTGTGGAGGGCGTGGGTCCTGTCCGGCCCGGAGATGCTCCGCGGGGTGTGTGTGTGATCGTGGCCCTGTAGCGGGGTGGTGTTCCCTGGAGGGTGGACCCCTGAGCCTGGCTGTGTGTGGCTGTGTCTCAGCATGAATTCCGTGACCCAGGAGCACGTTTTCAGGCAGGGATTAGGGGCAGCTGGGTGTGGGAGGCAGGCACTTGGTATACCACCGAATGGAGACAGAAAATCCCAACTCTACGAAGGAAGTGAAGTCCCTTCAACAGGGACAAAGCGATGTTTTGGGTCTGACTACAATGCACCCTGGGAAGTCTCAAAGAAAACAGTCGGGGACTCAAGGAGGGCAGCCCCCTCTCCCCGACCCCGAGCTCCCAGGAAGATAAATGATTTCCTCCTCTCTAGAGATGGGGGTGGGATCTGAGCACTCAGAGCCAAGGGCGCAGTGGGTCCGGGCGGGGGCCCTCCTCGGCCCTCCCAACATGGGGGCCAGGAGGTCAGCCCCTCAACCTGGACCCCGGCTGGGTCTCAGGGAATGGTCTCCCCCAGTGGCCCAGCTTGCTTGTGTTTTCAGATGGGTGTGCACGGGTGTGTGTGTGTGTGTGTGTGTGTGTGTGTGTGTGTGTGATGCCTGACAAGCCCCAGAGAGCCAAAGACCTGAGTGGAGATCTTGTGACTTCTCAAAAGGGGGATTGGAAGGTTCGAGAAGGAGCTGTGGTCAGCCTTGCTCTCCCTTAAGGCTGTGGTAACCACACTAGGCATAGCATAGGCCTGCGCCCCGTCCCTCCTTCCCTCCTCCGCGCCTCTCCTTTCTCTTTCTCCCCCCTCTACCCCGCTCCCTGGCCTGCTCCTGGTGACACCGTTGGCCCCCTTCCAGGGCTGAGGGAAGCCAGCGGGGGCCCCTTCCTGGAAGCCCACCTGCAGGCCGGCTTGCTGGGAAGGGGCTGCTCTCGCAGAGGCTCCCGCCCGCCCTGCAGCCGTTTCCTGGAAGCAGTCGCTGTGGGTATTCTGTTCCTTGTCAGCACTGTGCTTGCAAAGAAAGCAGACACTGTGCTCCTTGTCCTTAGGGAGCCCCGCTCCATCACCCAACACCTGGCTGGACACAGGCGGGAGGCCGGGTCCGCGGGGAGCGGCGCGGGGCTGGGGCCGGACCAGTAAACACACACGGGCGCCAGGCACTGCAGGCTCCTCCTCCTCCTCCTGCCCAGCGCCTCTGCTCACAGGCACGTGCCAAGCCCCTAGGCCAGGAGGCCCAGCAGTGGGTGCAGAGCAAGCTCCTGGGAAGGGGGTGCAGGGCGGACCCCCGGGGAGAAGGGCTGGCAGGGCTGTGGGGGACGCTGACCGTGGGCCCCACGTTGCAGAAAACTGGCTGCCTGGCTGGAAGATGGGGGAGATGCCAAGCCTCTGAGGCAGCACGAGCAGGGTGCATGGAGGCCGGGGCGCGGGGAGGCTGCACTGCAGCATGCACCCCAAAGCCCAGAGGGAGTGGAGACCAGGCCCTGGAATCGAGAAGTAGAAAGGCGGCTTGGAGGCCTCGGAACCGGCTGACCTCCAACAGAGTGGGGCCGGCCCTGGAGGCAAAGAGGTGCCCGGGGTCCGGCCCTGCCTGGGGGAGCTATGTGTCATGGGCAGCCACAGGATATGTAGCCAGCTCTGAGCATATGGACCCAGGGCAGGGCTGCAAGGCAGGGCAGGGGAGACAGACGGGGGAGCAAGGAGCAGAGAGGGGGCCTCAGGCTCTCCCAGGAGGAACATTCTCCCGACAGGAGGAAGAGACGGCCCAGGGGTGACTGTGGGGAGCCATGGTGGCAGCTGGGGTCGTGGCAGATGGGAGAGAGGCTGGCGAGGTGAAGGTGCAGGGGTCAGGGCTCTGGGGCCCACATGCCTGTGGGAGCGGGCAGGCCCAGGGCTCTCCGCCACTCCCCACTCCCGCTTGGCTCATAGGCTGGGCCCAAGGGTGGGGTGGGATGAGCAGGAGATGGGGCCCAGGGGGCAAGCAGGGCCCCAAAGACATTTAGAAAAACCGGTTTATGCAGGCAGCATTCAGAGCAGGCGGCGTGCGTGGCGGGGGCCCTGGGAGCACAGAGAGGCACACGTAGGGCCCCCGAGGGTCTCCCCATTGGCCGGCAGTGACATCACCCCTGTGTCAACAGTGATGTCTGCAGCTCCGGCCAGCCAGGGTTTATGGAGCGAGACCCAGCCCGGCCTGGGCCCTCACTCCCCAGGCCCACACACTAGCCCACTGTTCAGGGTCCGGGGTGGCAGCATGGCCTGGGGGTCCTGGCACCGCTGCTCCTCTGCCCACCCTAACTTCCCGGCATGGCGGCTGCCCCCTCTGAGCGTCCCCAACCAGTAAGTGTGGGGCCAGCAGGCCTGCCGTCCTCCTCCTCTTCCCTCTAGAGAGAAACGTGGAGGTCCTGGGGCTGGGGGCGCTCATAGCCCTGTGACACAGGTGCATGGGGTCAGGGGTCCCAGAATGGCCCCTGGGAAGGACCTCAGCTGGGCCGGCGGCTCTAGGCTTCAGGGGTCTGTCTGCACAGGGGCTAGCCCCTCCCAGACCTCTGTGAAGCCAGTACGGGCCTCCCCTCCCTGCCCCGTGCTCTGTCCGGTGCTTCCTGGACTGCACTGCGGGCCACTGGTGAGAGGGTGGACAGGGAAGGGCCGCCGTGGTGCCTGTTCCTGCCCACCTGGCTGTGTGGTCCCCTCCAAGTAGGGACAACCCTTCTGAGGGCTTGGGGGCACCCTGGGGTTGCCAGGGCCTCCCAGAGCCCTGTGAGCCCCTGGGGGGTCTGGCCTGATGCCCCCCTCCACGTCCAGGGCCGGCTGTGGCCCAGAACCCCAGCTTCCCAGCAGGCCGGTGTGCGGTGGTGACCCAGGAGAGGCCTCACCTCCACTGAGGGGCCACCGACCTCTGCCAGGCCACAGAGACCCCCAAGGAGTCTGAAGGCTGGAGACCCGGGGCTGGGACCAGGTGGGACTTTCCCACGGAGCCGCCCCCAGGCCCAGCTGGGGACACGTCCCCCTTCTCTCCAGACACACCCTGCCTGCCACCACGACACACCGGCCTGTTGGGGGTCTCTTTTAAGTGCTTGCCACTCTGAGGTGACTGTCCCTTTCCAAAGAGGTTTCTGGGGCCCAGGTGGGATGCGTCGGCCTGAGCAGGAGGATCTGGGCCGCCAGGGGCTGGGGACTGTCTCCTGGGGAAGGAAGCGCCTGGGAGCGTGTGTGCTGACCCAGGACCATCCAGGGAGGCCCGTCTGTGGGGCAAGCGGGAAGGGAGCGGCTGGAGAGGCTTGGCCGCCCCCGCCCTGCCTCCCATTCCTTAGCTCCATGCCTGTCAACCTCTGTCACCCAGTGAGTGATGTCCAGGGGCCCTGGAAAGGTCACAGCATGTTTGAGCGGGGTGAGAGAGAGGGGAAAGGCGGGGGCGGGGAAAAGTACGTGGAGGAAGCTCTAGGCCCAAGGAAGGAGAAAGGGTTCTGGGAGGGAGGGAGCCACTGGGGCCGCCGGGAAGGTCCCTGCCTGCTGCTGCCACCCAGAACCCTCGCCTCTTAGCTAGCCCCCGCAGCCCCAGCCTTTCTGGCCTGTGCCCCTCTCCCCCATCCCCAGCTGTCCTGTGCAACCAGGCCTTGGACCCAAACCCTCCTGCCCCCTCCTCTCCCTCCTCACCCTCCCAATGCAGTGGTCTCCAGCCTGGCTCTGCCCTGCCGCAGGTCCCCTCCCCTCATTCCAGGCCTAGAGCCTCCAGTCCCGGTGGCCCCCAGCCCGAGGGTGAACGGCCTCACCCTGGGTCGTGGGACAGAGGGCACGTTCATCAAGAGTGGCTCCCAAGGGACACGTGGCTGTTTGCAGTTCACAGGAAGCATTCGAGATAAGGAGCTTGTTTTCCCAGTGGGCACGGAGCCAGCAGGGGGGCTGTGGGGCAGCCCAGGGTCAAGGCCAGGCTGTGGGGCTGCAGCTGCCTTGGGCCCCACTCCCAGGCCTTTGCGGGAGGTGGGAGGCGGGAGGCGGCAGCTGCACAGTGGCCCCAGGCGAGGCTCTCAGCCCCAGTCGCTCTCCGGGTGGGCAGCCCAAGAGGGTCTGGCTGAGCCTCCCACATCTGGGACTCCATCACCCAACAACTTAATTAAGGCTGAATTTCACGTGTCCTGTGACTTGGGTAGACAAAGCCCCTGTCCAAAGGGGCAGCCAGCCTAAGGCAGTGGGGACGGCGTGGGTGGCGGGCGACGGGGGAGATGGACAACAGGACCGAGGGTGTGCGGGCGATGGGGGAGATGGACAACAGGACCGAGGGTGTGCGGGCGATGGGGGAGATGGACAACAGGACCGAGGGTGTGCGGGACACGCATGTCACTCATGCACGCCAATGGGGGGCGTGGGAGGCTGGGGAGCAGACAGACTGGGCTGGGCTGGGCGGGAAGGACGGGCAGATGGGATCCCAAGGACATGGAATTTCGGACCTTCTGTCCCCGCCCTCTCTGCTGAGCCTAGGAACCTCTGAGCAGCAGGAAGGCCTTGGGTCTAGAGCCTAGAAATGGACCCCCACGTCCACCTGCCCAGCCTAGACCCCCAGCATTGAAGGGTGGTCAGACTTCCTGTGAGAGGAAGCCACTAAGCGGGATGGACACCATCGCCCACTCCACCCGGCCCTGCCCAGCCCTGCCCAGTCCAGCCCAGTCCAGCCCAGCCCTGCCCTTCCCAGCCCTGCCCAGCCCAGCTCATCCCTGCCCTACCCAGCCCAGCCCTGTCCTGCCCTGCCCAGCCCAGCCCAGCCCAGCCCTGCCCTGCCCTGCCCTGCCCTTCCCAGCCCTGACCTTCCCAGCCCTGCCCAGCCCAGCTCATCCCTGCCCTACCCAGCTCAGCCCTGCCCTGCCCTGCCCAGCCCTGCCCAGCCCAGCCCTGCCCTGCCCTGCCCAGCTCAGCCCTGCCCACCCCAGCCCAGCCCAGCCCAGCATGCCTTCTCTGGCTGGAGAGCACAGGCTTGACCTTAGAAAGAGGCTGGCAACGAGGGCTGAGGCCACCAGGCCACTGGGTGCTCACGGGTCAGACAAGCCCAGAGCCTGCTCCCCTGCCACGGGTCGGGGCTGTCACCGCCAGCATGCTGTGGATGTGCATGGCCTCAGGGCTGCTGGCTCCAGGCTGCCCCCGCCCTGGCTCCCGAGGCCACCCCTCTTATGCCATGAACCCTGTGCCACACCCACCTCTGAGCTGTCCCCGCTCCTGCCGCCTGCACCCCCTGAGCAGCCCCCTGTGTGTTTCATGGGAGTCTTAGCAAGGAAGGGGAGCTCTTCAATCTTGCCAGTCAGGGTGCTGTCTGCTGAGTAAGTGTCCCCGTGCTGTGCCCCAATGTCCCCATCCTTTGGCAAACAGCCATCAGCCTGTGGATCCTGCACTCCCATGCGGTGGGAGAGGGAGACCTGGGCTCACCTGAGCCTCCCCACAAGCCAGGGAGAGGGGCTGCCCAATGGCGGGAGGCCCCCATGGATCCCAAACGGCAGTTGCCCGCACTCCTACCCAGGAACTTTGTCTGTGATGAACAGTAAGGAATAAGGAAGCGGGTGAGAAAGAAGGAAGGAAAGGCGGTGGGGGGCATGGCGGGGGGCGGGGAGGGTGTTTGGAAAGTTCCAGAAAAGAGTCACTTCACCAGAAAGGCCACAAGCTCCCCGTGCCCCCAGCCCCTGCTCGGCTCCGAGGTGAAGGACTTGGAGCGTCGACGCTGGCGTGGGGACCAGCTGTTCTCCTTGAGTTTGTTTCCTTCAGTTCCTTCCGGGCCTCACCCTCCTCTTCCTGCCACACACACACTTTTTTCCTTTTTAAATTGTTTTATTTGGGGCCAGGTGTGGTGGCTCACACCTGTAATCTCAGTATTTTAGAAGGCCAAGGTGGGCAGATTGCTTGAGTCCAGGAGTTGGAGACCAGCCTGGGCAACATAGTGAGACCCCATCTCTACCAAATATCAGCCAGGTGCGGCGGCGCGCACCTGTATTCCCAGCTATGTGGGAGACTGAGGTGAGAGGATCACGTGAGCCCAGGAGGTTGAGGCTGCAGCAAGCCATGATCATACCACTGCACTCCAGCCTGGGCAAGAGAGTGACACCCTGTCTCAAAAAAAAAAAAAAGTAGAAAAATTTATTTTAAAAAATTGTTTTAACATTTGAGTGCTGCAACTGTCCAAGGAGGAGCAGACGGCCCGTGTCAGACAGCCTGAAGCCTGACTGTCTGCGATCAACGGCCCCGTGGCCAGCTGTGTGCAGCAGTTTGGCCTGGCCTGATGCCTCTGTCCTTGGCACCAGCTCACAGCCCGTGCCCATAACAGACCTGGGGCACCGAAGGAAGGGCAGATCCAGCCCCCACCTGCCCTGGGTCTGAAGATCTCCCAGGAGGCTCCATGGGGTGCCTTGAGTGGGAGGGGCTGGCCGATAGCCTTGAGGAATTGGCACGGACATGCAGAGAGGGGCATGTCCCAAACTCGGGGCGCTGTGGCCTCCAGCTGCCAGGAGGTAGATGTGTTCTGACTTCTGGGTTCCCACCACCAGAACTGCAGGGGATATGAAGCAAGCTGGACTTGGGGAGACATCTCTGCTCGAGTGCACGTTGGCCTGATGACGACTGCTCTTGGGTTCACGGGTTCCAGGCTCTGCCCGGGAGCCTCATGCAAACTGGTCCCGTTCTACAGACGAGGAAACTGAGGCACAGAGTGATTACGGCTGTCCCTGAGCTCCTGCAGCCAGTAAGGTGATACACCAGGATGTGTTCCCAGGTTGTCCGCTGGGCTCAGTAACACAGTCTCAACTGCCCTGTGACACTGCGTGTCTGTGCTTGTGGGGAAGGTGACCAGAGGCCCCCTTTCCTCCACGCGGTGAGCCTACCAGCAAGGAGACAGTCCTCAGGTGTGAGGATGAGCCTCGTAGTAGGCACAGAGAAACAGGAGGAACCTTCTGGAAGGTGAAGCCTCCCACGGCTGGGACTCTTGGAGAAGGGCGGATCTCTGTCCACTCCTGCCCACTCCCCAGCACAGACAGAGCAAGCAGGACAGAGGGCCCAACGTCCCAGGATACTGCAGAGCTCAAAGGAGGGCAGAGAGCATCGCCCCACATGGGCGCCGGGAGAAAGGTGGGCGGGGTGCTCAGGGGCCCCTGGCCGTCCTGAAGTTTGCCTCAGAGAGGTGTGGGCTTCTCCTCCCTCCCATACACAGTGTCTCTGAGGATGAACTGCCATGTGCCCGGCGGGGATGCCGTCCCTGGCCCTTGCTGAGTGCCTCTGGGACGAGGTCAGCTGAGCCTGCCATCCTAACTCAGACACCATCTCACTCTCCAAGTCCCTTCTCGGTGAGACGGGGGGCCTTGCACCCACCTCCCAGCCCCCACACACCTGAGGGGGTCCCCGTTCCCCTACCCCGTGGCTCCACCACGCCCCACGCATCCTACCTGAGGGACAGAGGGGACTGTGAGATGCCCCCCACAGGCTGGTTTTCCTCTTTCACCCATAACAGGCCCAGCAAATTCTCACCTCCAGAGGCCAGGTCTGCCCCGCAGGTCTTAGGAAATACAGCCCTACTTCCATCCAGCACACCAACCCAAGGAAGTGCCTCGGAGCCCTGGGGCCCGAGGGGGGCCTGGCCTTGGTCTCACGGCGGCAGCTCCACCTGGAGAGGAGTGAACTCAAGCCAGGACGCCCCGTCTCCACAGCGGAAACCGTGTTGCCGGCTGCTCCCTCCTGGGGACTCTGGGCCTGAGGTTCCTGTGGGAGTTGGGGGGATAGCTGAGTCCTATGGAGGTGCCCCTCTCCTCCCCGCCCAGTGGAGCTTGGGGTGGGGACAGGCGAAGACAGGGTGAGAAGCACGGGGCATTCCCCCTCCACACAGCGCTGAGAAAGTAAGGGAGCATCCAGAAAACGGTGCCCACTTCCGCGTCAGGCGGATATCACGGGCACCAGCTCCAGGTGACCCTAGCCCAGCCAGAGAACAAGGACCAGGTTGTGCCGCAAAGCCCGTGTCCGCTCCCTCCCGCCTGGGACCACTGTGGCGAGGGGAAGGGAGCGTGGTGGCCCTCTCCTGACTCCTGAGGCCTGAAGTCCAAGCTCCCGGCCCTCAGGCAGGCCAGGGTCTAGACACCGCTGCCCCAAACACACCCCCCAGTCCCCGCCCGCAGGCTTCCTGCAGGATCCCCCAGTGCACCTGGGGGCTGAGGAGAGTGAGCAGGGCGCAAAGAAGCTTCGTCGGGAGGGCGGTCCCCACCCGCCTTGGACCCCCGGGGATAGTGTCCTGGGGCCTGGGCTCAGATGCACCCTGGGAGGAATGGTGCGGAGGCTGTTTTTTGCTCCAAGAGGACATTGCCTCAGCAGAGGGCTGCCGAGCTGGGAGGACCCACAGTGCAAGGCCGCAGAACCCCCTAGGAAGCCTCAGAGCCTTCAGGTTCCGGGCTGAGGCTGTGGGCGTGGACCCTTGTGCAAACCCCACTGGAAGAAAAACCTTACAGCTCAGGAGGAGGAGGGGCCCCACCCGCTCCCAGAGCCCGTAAACGAGGGGTGGTGCCCACATGAGGCCTGGGGAAGGGCTGGGGCTGGGACACCCCCTCACCACCCCCAGATACCCCAGGCAGCCCCTCCCTCCACAGAGAGACCCACTGGGCCTGACCCTGCCCTGGGCACAGGGTCGAGCCAGGGACGGCCCGTGGGAGAAAGACGGCTTCATGGGCCGCTGGCCGGGCCAGGTGCGTCCTTCCCCAGTTCTAGGTGGCAAATGGGGTGGGGCCAGAGCCTTCTGGCTAGGGAAGACACTGGCCTGGTTGGTGTGGCAGGGGCAGCGAAGGAGGGTCAAAGGCCACTCTGGCCTGGAAGAGTCCCCAGCCACCTGGACGGGGGTAGCCAGGCCTGGTCCCTGCCCCCACTCTCCAAGGGGTCGGGGCAGCCGGGCAGAGCCAGTAAGTGTTTGTTTTCAGATGACATTTGTAAAGAAAAACAGCCTCCCACACTGCTTGACCCTGTGTCTGGAATGTGGGGAGGCAAACAGCTGTGCCCTTCCCAGACCCTGCACAGCCCCTGGTGGGGGCAGGGCCCTGGTGGGAGCAGGGCCCAGAGGTACAGCCTGGGGAGGCACCGGCCATTGTGGTTGGAGCGCGGCAGCCAGGCTCTGGGCTCTGTTCCGGGCCTCACTGTGTCCCCAGTGGGGTGCCGCCACCACCCCCCCAGCCTGGGCCCCGCCGGTCAGACACCCGCAGGGACAGCTTGTCTTGGCTAGCTGGCTACAGCACCTCGCTGGAGTCCAGCAGACACGCGCTCCCGTGCGCACGCTGCGCCCCAGGCCAGCCCTAACGCCGCTGCTCGGGTCAGGCCCCCCGCCTGCCGTGGGCTGCTGGCTGCCTTGGCCCGCCCCAGCTCTCTCCGCGCCCCTGCCTCCAGGGAGCCCTCCTCGAGGACTCCAGCCACCCAAGCTCAGCAGGGCCAGCCCGAGCCCCTGCCCCACACAGCCTGTGTGGAGGGTCCTCAGCCCCCTGATCCCCCAGACCCTCCCGGCAGAGGCTGGGTCCCTGGGGCTTGGGGAAAGCCGGCTCCATGGCCCCTGGCCTGGATGATTTCCCAGAGGCCGGTCCCCTGCCAAGTGCCTGGTGACCCTTGTTCCTACCTGGCTGCCCATGGTCCTTTGTGCGACCCCCGCCCACAGCCCAGGAGCTGGGCAGGAGACTCTGATTGGGTGGCAGCAGAGCCATCCTAGGGCTGCCCCTGACCCTGGCCCTGACCCTGCCCTGGAGCCTCGTTTCCAAATCTTGCCTCATGCTTTCGCCAGACCCCTGTGGCCCCTTCCCGACCCTGGAGTGCCCCTGGGGCTTCCTGGAAAGGGCCTCTCCTTTGCTCACAGTTGGGTGCCGAACTTCACCAGCATTGACCACCCGAAGGCGCAGGGACACCCCCGCAGTCCCTCTCCTGGGGGTCCCATCACCAACTCCCCATGGGCGGGATATCAGAAGAATTCTCTGCGCAGGTGCTCCGCCCCTTCAGGCACAGGGGAGGGCGGCTCAGGGGCCAACGGCAGACGTTGGTGCCTGCCCCTGCAGCGGGGTGCCCCATGCTGAGACAGCACACACGGGGGACACTCCGGGCCTCGGTCCACCCTCCATGTGGCAAATGAGGTGCTTGGCGGGGCTTCTTAACTCTTCACCCTGGGCTCCCCACGGGTCCCTTCCCTTCCCCTTGGGGGCCCCGGCCCCAGGTCCCCAAGGCCTAGACCTGCCTCTGCCACCCTCAGAGCAAGGATGCGCTGCAGAGGGAGAGGGGCTGCAGCTCGGCCCCAGAGCTCCGGCTTCCTGTCTCCCAGACCACAAATCACTAAAGGCCGTGGGTCCTGGGACATTGAAGGCCCAGGAAGCTCCTTGTGTTGAGTTAAACATAGTGGAGCAGAGGCATGGAGCTGGCATTTCCCACGCTTACGACCACTCTGCTACGGGCTGGGGTGGGGCTGGGAATCAGCTTCCCCTGCGCCCCGCCATCCCTTGTCCAGAGGGACCCGTGGGAAGGCCAGGTTGAAGAGTTAAGAAGCCCCGCCGAGCACCTCATTTGCCACACGGAGGGCGGACCGAGGCCCGGAGTGTCCCTCTTGCGCACTGTCTCAGCATGGGGCACCCCGCTGCAGGGGCAGGCACCAACGTCTGCTGCTGGCCCCTGAGCCACCCTCCCCTGTGCCTGAAGGCCCAGCACTTCCAGGGCTGCCCGAGCTGAGGACCTGTGCAGAGAACTCTTCTACACCCCACAGAGGAGGCTGAGGGGTCGAGGCGGCTGCGGGAGCCCCAGGGGGCCACCACACAGCCATGCCTGCCCCTCTCCTCGGTGGGTGTAGAAAGCTCTTAAATGGTGGAAAAACAAGGGCATGGCCACATTGCACAGGCACAGAAGGTTCCAGAAGGAGTGAAACAATGGCATGGAGGGAGCAGAGCCTGGGCCGGTGGGGGCACAGGGATGAGGCCAGTGAAGGCCACGGGTTGGGGGGTGCCCTGAAGCCAACGACCCCATCCTTATCGCCTGTGTCTCTCTGCACACAGCGTCTCGTCTGCAAAGTTAGCTGAGCAAACGCCAGGAGCCAAGGGTCGAGGCAACGATATCCGTGGGGCCACTCCACACCCCCTCTGCCTGCCCCATCAAGACCTGCTTTCCTGGTTGAAATCCAACTCACGATTTGCCCCCGGGGGCCCAGCAGCCCTACCCAATGGAGCAGCTGCACCCACATTGCCCAGCTTCCCAGGCGGACAGGGGCTTGGTGAGCCTTCCTGTCCCCACTGGAGCATGGCCGGAGTGATTTTCTGCTTCTGCTGCAGATCACCCTGGTGGGAGCAGCTGTAATCGCATTATCCCCAGTTATGCCTCCACTGGGCACTGGGGTAGGGACAGGACTGCCAGGACACGATTCCATTTACCTAACGCCAGTGGAGCCCTGGGGGCTCTCCTAGGTCCACGGGGAGGGGTGGCCATCTCTCTAGGCCCAGGGACCCCAGGACAGGGGTAGAAAACCACGGGAGAGTTAAGGAGTTAAGGCCAGAAGGGGCCAGTCCGGCCAAGTGGGGCAAAGCTGTCCACCGTTGGGCAGGGCATGACTGAGGGGCGGTGTGGGGAACAGCTGCTCATCTCCCCCAGGCCCATGCCCGTGATGAACTGTGTGACTACCCCCAGGATCAGTCAGGAAGCTTGGCCCAGGAGCCTGTGCAGACCTAACAGCCAGCTCCAGCCCCGAGGCAGGGCAGCTGTGCTCCAGAGGGCTCCCGGGGCCGCACTGTCCCTCCCAGGTGGACACCCTCGTGGCACGTACGCCCCTGCTCTCAGCCCTCTCCTTCACTGGATGGAGAGACTCGGGACCCGCAGAGGTGGGTGGCGGGCAGAGGAGGTGGAGCTGGTCTGAGACGCAAGACGTGGCCTGTGGATTCTAGGAGCAACTGGTGGCTTCCAAGGTCCCCCACCCACTCCACACATGTTCCCAAACCCCGTTTTGCAGATGAGGATGGCAGGCTCAGCACAGGGGCCCATGTCTCTGTCACCAGGCAAGGTGGGGGGGCTCTAGGGCCAGAATCGCTCCCACCTCCAGCCGGGGATCAGAGGTCTCTGGTTAGCAGCCGAGGCGAGCGGGACACAGGCTGAGGGATGGGGACAGCTGCTCGCCCGGCACAGACAAGGCTCCCCTCCCCATGCTGGAGACCCCGGCTGCCCCATCAGTCACGGCCCACCCAGGACCATGCAATCATCCTCCACTTCTCCTAATCCTCCTGCCAGCTTCTTCCCAAGAGTCCAAGCAGTTGGATGCATTTTCTAAATTCTCAGGCCACTGCTGTTTCCTCCTCAAATTCCTTGTCCCCCACCCGTGGCCCCCTCCCAGCCATGGGAAAGGACTGCTGCGGCCTCCCCACAGGCCTGTGCACGGGTGGGGCTGCGTCCAGGCAGCTGTGAGGTACCGGGGACCCAGGGGTAAGAGCCCCGATTACAGGGGCGTCATGGGAAAGTGGCGAGGGGAGGCCACCCAGGGCCCCCACCACAGCCCCGCTCCACATCCTCCCCTGATCTCTGGCCCTGGAAAGAATCAGATGGGACCCCCAGCAGCAGTCACTTGAGTCCCACTGCCACCGGCTGTGCTGAGGATGCCCACTGGGCCGTGCTGTGGCCACCTGGCTTGCAGTGTGGGCACCAAGGTATCGGCCCAGATTCCTACCCATCAGAGCACCAGCACAGGGCCGAGCCAGTGCCACAGAGCCCCTGGGCTGCAGCACGTCCTGCACGTCCCACAGACCGGCCTGCCGGGAGGGAGGGGTGCTGCCCAGGGCTCGGTGCCCTCCCGGAAGGGGCTTCAGTGGGGCTGTTTGCCAGGTGGTGGCTCTGACGCAGGAGAGGACAGATGGGCAGAGCCCGAGGGCAGCCCTGGCCAGGTGCGTACAGTGGTGGCTGTGACGCCCTCTCCCACGCCTGTCTCTGGGTCCAGGAGGAGTGATGATCTCCAGGCTCCAGAGGACTAGGAACAGCAGGCAGGCTCGCTGCTGATAACGGGGACTTCTCCACCTGGTGGGGAGTGATGAGGCAAGACCGGATGGCAGGCCCCAGGCCTCTCCTCTCCAGGGACAGCCATCATCTCCTCGCCTGTGCAGGTCTCAATCAGTCAGTGATTACGCAACCAGCAACCAGCACTTTATTGCCGGTTGTGAAGATCTGGAGGACATGCGGGTCCCCGGGGCCACAGCCTTCCCGCATGGGTGAGCAGTAAGCTGTGCAATTAGCCCTCAGGCCGTCATCGCCAGGCCCTGCCTTTGTTCCTCCACCTGCCGCCCGCCGGAAGCCTCCCACAACCTGGCCAGCCTGCTCTTTCTCCCCCTCCACTCTGACCCCTTCCTCCTCAGGGCCCTGACATGCAGCTATCTGGCACCCAGTTTCAATACCTTTTTCTTTCTTTTTTTTTTTTTGAGACAGAGTTTCACTCTGGTTGCCCAGGCTGGAGTGCAATGGCTCGATTTCGGCTCACCGCAACCTCCGCCTCCTGGGTCCAAGTGATTCTCCTGCCTCAGCCTCTGAGTAGCTGGGATTACAGACATGCGCCACTACGCCCAGCTAGTTTTGTATTTTTTGTAGAGACACGGTTTCACCATGTTGGTCAGGCTGGTCTTGAACTCCTGACCTCTGGTGATCCACCCACCTCGGCCTCCCAAAGTGCTGAGATTACAGGTATGAGCCACCGAGCCGGGACTTCTTTTCTTTTCTTTTTCTTTTTTCCAGCCCTCAACTATCCGTTTCATTAAAAAATTCAGAATTCTCTCCCCTGCCTGCCAGGATGGGACCCAAAACTCGGGCAATAGGCCTGCCCGAGTTGTGGCCCTGGGCCTGTCCCCGACAAGTCACCCTACGTTTTCCATTCCACCATCCTCTCTCTGCACCTCAAGCACCGTGAACCCTCTCCCACCTGCCTGACCTCGCCGTCTCCAAAGGAGAACCTTTCTTGTGTCATCCCGCCCTCTCTAGGCCCGCCGTCTGCCTGGGGGCTGCCCTGGTGGCTGTGCTGTGTCTCCCACTGCTGTGCGCACGGTGCTGCCTGCTCTTTGCCTCAGAGGCACTGGAGCCCATGTGCTCGGGGGGGTGTGGCCTTCGAACACTGTGAGTCCCCACATCTTGCCTCCAGAGGCCACAGCTGGCCTGGGCCAAGCCTGGGCCACTTCCTCTGCAGTGACCAAGAGCAGGGCTGCCTCGAGGGTTTCGGGGCAGGAGAGAGGGAACAAATCTCCTGGAGGCAGATGGGGGCCACAGGGAGGCTGGAGGCCTGGAACCCCTCCCAGAGAGCCAGTGGAGGGATGCTGCCTGGCAGATGGGAGATGGCAGGCGGGTGCTCCAGGGGCTCCTCCCTCCTTGTAGCACCTTGGACATGTTTTGTTTTATTATGGTGAAAATATGTAACAAAACTAGCCATTATAGCCATTGAGCCACTGAGCCACGGAGCCACGGAGCCACGGAGCCATGGAGCACACACATCAGTGGCACTCAGTCCATTCTCACTGCTGCGCAGCCATCGCCACCATCCACCTCAGACCTCCTCCCTCTTCCCAAACTGAAGCTCCCTGAAGGTGCCCAGCCTCCTTGCCAGTAGATGAGATGGGGAGGCAGCCCTGCTCGACCAAGGAGGCAGAAGTCTTGATTGTTCTCCCTACAGTCCCACGGGAAGCACCTGCAGCAGGGCCCTGGCTGGACAGACGGCCACAAGGGGTGTGGTGCAGTGATCGGGTGCCCTGGCCTGGGCAGGAGAGTGGCGCCCTTGGCCTGCCCAGCCCCTGCCCTGCGGCCCGCCTGACAGCCGAGGGGAGCTTCACCTTCCAGCCTCTGGCTGTCATTAGCTGCTCCCGGTGGGAGGTGGGACCGGCAGGGGAAGCTCAGTCCCACAGCCAGTGAGGATCCAGGCTCAAGCGGAACCACCTGGACCTCATTATTCTTAAGTGGTCCAGTCTGAAAGTTTGGGAAGAGGGGAGGAAAAAACTGCCAATCCCCACGCCTGGGGAGCCCCACCCCCTCTTCAAGCCAGCACTGAAGCCCTGGGGGTTTCAGCCACAATGGAGAGCTAAACCGGGCCCACCCCAGGGCCCAGGAGGGGCATCTGTAGAGGGTTCAGCCCCAGGAGGACTTGGAGGTCAGGCAAGCCAACGGGAGTTCAGAGCTTAGGAGGGGTGAGAGGTCAGACTCTGGTCCTTTCTCATCACCTGGGGTCCGTCTGTCCTTCCAGGTCACCTGGGGTGTCTACAGTCAAGGCCAGTCTGACAGGTGGGATGGTGCTTCCCAGCAACCCCACCCTGAGGAGAACCCTGCTGCCTCTCCCTGCTCTCCACCCCCAGCACAGGCCCCGGGAAGCCTCCAGCTGATGACGACACCAGGACGGTGCTGAGTGGACCCTGGGGCCAGCATCACAAGGCACCCAGGACCCCAGACCACCCAGCCACACCCCAGGCTACGAGGAGGGGGCGCTCCGGCGAGGCTGGGGTGCCTTCAAGGTGCATCCTAGCAACATCCTCCACCTGCAGGAGGGACACTCGGTCACAGCTTGGGGAGGATGTGCTCAGACGGCATAGGAAGGATTTGCTCAGACCCCATGGGGAGGATTTGCTCAGACCCCGTGGGGAGGACTTGCTCAGACCCCATGGGGAGGACTTGCTCAGAACCCATGGGGAGGACATGCTCAGACCCCGTGGGGAGGACATAGACCCCGTGGGGAGGACTTGCTCAGACCCCGTGGGGAGGACATGCTCAGACCCCATGGGGAGGACTTGCTCAGACCCCGTGGAGAGGACATGCTCAGACCCCGTGGGGAGGACATGATCAGACCCCGTGGGGAGGACTTGCTCAGACCCCGTGGGGAGGACATGCTCAGACCCCGTGGGGAGGACTTGCTCAGACCCCGTGGGGAGGACTTGCTCAGACCCTGTGGGGAGGACATGCTCAGAACCCATGGGGAGGACTTGCTCAGACGGCATAGGAAGGATTTGCTCAGACCCCATGGGGAGGATTTGCTCAGACCCCGTGGGGAGGATTTGCTCAGACCCCGTGGGGAGGACATGCTCAGACCCCGTGGGGAGGATTTGCTCAGGCCCCATGGGGAGGACTTGCTCAGACCCCGTGGGGAGGATTTGCTCAGACCCCGTGGGGAGGACATGCTCAGACCCCGTGGGGAGGATTTGCTCAGACCCCGTGGGGAGGACTTGCTCAGACCCCGTGGGGAGGATTTGCTCAGACCCCAGGCAGGCATCATGAATGCGCCCAGCCCGGACCCCAGACTGGTAGCTCCTACCACACGCGGAGCAGCAGAGGCTGGCAAGAGGGACTCAGGACTTGGGCTGGGGACAGAGGGCCCTGCACAGCTCTGGGGTCCTGACCCAATCCTGCATTTCCATAGAGAGCTGCCTGGGCACCCATGCTGAGGGTCCCTGCACCCCCTGGTGTATCGGAGACCCTTCCCCCACCCCCTATCCCCCGCCACTGAGACACAGGAATGTACAGGATGGCTGTGAGGGCAGAGGCAGGCCCAGGGCGCAGCAGGCAGGGCTGGGCGGGGCTGGGGATCTGCAGGAGGTTGGCCCTGGAGATGGGACATGTCTGGACCCTCGGTGTCATCACCTCTATGTTTTGACCACTGAGCAAAATTACACTAAATGAAGCACAAATTAGCCAAGGGGACAGTCGACTCTGTCCTTTCTTCTTAATCCCTCTGGCTCAGGGTTTCCCAGCCTGGACAGCCTGTCCGAGGGGAAGGCTGCCCAAGGGCACACGGGCATCGGTCCGGGGACATTCAGGCAGTGACCAATCCCTGGCCACCCTGGTGTGTGCCCGGCAATGTGGGCCTTTTCCCAGACAGCCAGTGGGGGAGCGGCTGCTGTGGGTCCCTGAGTCTTAGCCAGATGGTCAAGGATAGGACAATGATGGAGACCCGCATGCGGCCGCATCCATGGGTAAAGGAGGCGGAACGGAGGACAGCTCTGCCATCCCCTCAGCCAGCCATGAAAAGCAACCCTTTCCCCTAAGGCCCCAGCACCACCTTGGAGGCCACCATGGGCTGGAGCCCAGCACAGCCACCATCGCATCTTGGCTGTCCAGCTCAGGACGGCCAGTTCCAAGGCGTCCAGGCTGGAGCTCTGGGGGCGGAAGAGCACAAGCTCCTGAAGAGCCTCTGGTCCAGCCCTGGCAGCGGAGGGCCAGGTGAGAGCCTGTTGAGGGCTCTGAGGACTCCAGGAGGGACTGGCTGAGGACACCGGTGGGGGTAATACCTCCCCCTCCAATGGCCGCTCGCAGGAGGCAATTCCCAGAGCCCCGCTCCATGGGCCACCAGGTACCCAGAGCCTCATTTAGAAATGGCCATGCCTCCCCACAGGCCCCCGCTGGGATCCTGGTGCTTCAAATGTCCTGCTGTGGTCCCAGGGAGGAGCAAAACCCCCTCCCAGTCAGGAAGCATCCTCAACCGCATCTAATTCCAGATGCTACCTCCCACCTTGGCTTTCCAGGAGACGGAGAACGGAGCCGGCCCCTCTCCAAGGCCCCGAGGCCCGGCAGGGCACCCCTCGGAGCAGATAAGCTCACCCCTGCTCCCAGGACAAGCAAGCTCCTGCTGAGGCTCTGCTACTGCTAATTGGCCCTTGGGATAAGCAGACCTGTCCAGGAAAGAACCCTCTCCCTGATCTCCTGGCCCCAGCCCCATCCGGCCGGGAGTTCTGACTTAAGCAAATAATCAGTCCAGGGAATTGGAGGCTCAACAGAATCGTCCTCCAGGAATCTGGTCTTCGTTCCTCCACCCTCCTCCTCCCGTCTCCGCCCGGGGTCTTGAGATCAACAGCAAGGTTTTGCACTCGTAGGGGCTTCCCGGAGACACCCTCCAGCCTCAACCCAGAGGAGATGGGTGCCTGGGCCGTGACCCCTCACACAAGAGGACCAAGCCCAGAGAGGAGACGGGAAGCCATGCGCCCGGCCAGCTGGGGTCTGCGATGGACTCAGTGGGGTCCAGCCCTCCTCACTCCAAGGGGAGCTGGGAGCCGACCCGGTGAGGGAGGGCATCCTGGGAAAGTGACAGGAATCAGGGAATGGCCCTGGGGCTCCGGACCTCCTCTGATGGAGTCATTCAAGGCCCTTGGCAGAGCTGGGCATCCTCTGGGCCCCAGGGAATAAGGTCCCCTCACTCCACCACAGAACAGCATCTGGGCACCTACCTGTTGGCCATGGGCAGAGCAAAACTCTCTCCTGGACCCCAGTGCCCAGAGCCCTGGCCTTGGGAGGGAGCTGTGCATCCTCAGGAGCCCCCCCGGGCTGCCCCCCACCACCCTGCAGGCAGCTCACCCTCCCACCCCACCAGCTGCAGGTGCGGACACGTGTCTTCTCCTTCCCCAAATGCTCGTTCTGCACCTGCTTCGGGAGGGCAGTCCTGCCTGCTCACAGCCCAGCCCTGCCCGAACTCCTGGCCATGTGTGGAAACACACGGGCGTTAGAACATGGCATCCCGGTTCCCTTCTATGTTCAGGAAGACGACACCCATCTGGCTGAGGGGATGGCAGAGCCCCTCTCCCCACAGCCCCCTCTGCAGTGCAGCTCTCCTTTCCTCTCCCCGCATGCCTCTTCCCGAGGGCAGCCCCTTCTCTCCATCAGGATCGCATGCCTCTTCTCGAGGGCGGCCCCTTCTCTCCATCAGGATCACCCTTCCTGGGCCTCCGGGGTGCAACGGGCGGGCGCTGTTTCCCCCAAGCCCTCCCTTCCTCCCTCGGGGTGGGGCCCTTTCCTCCAGGCTCTTCTCCGTCTCCTGGTCTCTGCCATCTCCCAAAACCCATTCTATTTCTCCACATGTCTACCTCGTCCCCCATCCGTCTCCATTCTCCTAGTCTCCCGCCTGCCAGCCCGGCCCTGGCACCAGCCACTTGGCAGCCTCCTCCTCCTCCTCCCAGAACCTTCTCTTTCCTTCCTGGTCCCATCTCAAACTGCAGCAAGCTGGTCGAAAGGTGAGACCAGGCTGGGAGGAGCTGTGGGCCACGGAGATGGTGGCCGGGGGAGGTATGGGAGGTGGGAGGGCAGGCGGGCCAGGTGGGGAGCAGGGCATCTTGCCATGGGAAGGGCTGGAGGAAACACCGCATCCAGGGATGGCCAGAGCTCGCCTGGAGCCCCTGAAGGTCTTGCTTTTAGAGCCGGGTGGGGCTGCTGTGTGGCCAAGCCGGGCGAGTGGCCCCATCCCCGGGTCCTGGGCTCCTGGCGTCTGCCCTGGAGCCCACCATGTTGCAGTACTGTGTGGCCGTCCATTGCTGCTCTCTTCACTGTATGACCGGGGGTTCCCTCTGTGCCCCTCAAAGCCCCAACTTGCCTGGACTTTGGGTCTGCAGCTGGCGCATGGGAATCTTCCCACATGGCAGCGTAGGGTGACTATGGAGCCGACCAAGGCTGCCAAGGTCTTACTTGAGTAGAAGACGTCCATCCTGAGCGATCCTGTTGGCCGGTCCTCCGGATCCAGCCTTCCTGGGAATGCGGCCACCCACAGGACTCCAAGCGGGTCTGGGGTCCCTGGTCCCCCAGGTTGACCACCCCTTGCTGCAGCTGCTCCGGAAACAGAGGGTGCTGCCCTGGCCATTTTGCTCCTTGCTGGGTGTCTGGGAGGGCTGCGAGGGGAGGAAGAAGGGCAGGGAGAGGTGAGAGACCCGAGAGAAGGGGGAAGGAGTCTCAAAGGAGGGGAGGGACGGCCGGCCAGCACTGTGGCGCAGTGTGCAGGAGGGGAACATGGCGGTGCCCGGCACGAGGTGGGGTGCGGGGCAGCCCTGGAGCCCTGGCTGCCTCTCCCAGCAGTGGGTCCGGCACTAGCTAGCCAGCTGAGCTTGCTGTGTTTGGAGTCTGCAGAAAGTGCTGCCCCGCCAAGCCCCACAGGCCAAGCCAGGCCCGAGGGACAGGAAGGAGCATGGGGCCTTCACTCACTGCCCAGCCCGGGGCACGGCCGGCCCATCTCCCATTTCCAGGGCATCCGGGGACGGGCACGCCCCGGATACTTACTGCCCTGTCACTGGAGGTTAGCATCCTCCCTCGTCCGGTGCCCTGCCCAGGTGGCTGTTACCTCCCCTACCTCCTCCAAGACCCTGAGCAGGGGGAGAAAGAAAGTGGACAGAGGCACCCGACCTCCTGACCTGAGTGTGGTCCCCGCTTTGTTCCCCCTTCCTCTGCCCCCAGTTCTCACTGCGAAGGAGGAGAGGGCTCACCTGGGGTGGCCCCACGTGCCTGCCAGCCTTGGTCCAAGACTGCAGAGAAGGGTCCCTGAGGAGGTGGGGAGGAACCCAGAGGCAGATCCTGAGGGTCTTCCCTGAAAGAGGAGGGCTGGTGGGCAGCAGGAAGATCCGGGATTGTGCCCTCAGCTGCCCTCTCTGTCCTGACGTGTCACCCGCTAAGGGTCATGGGCCAAGGAGGGAACGGGCAATGTCTGGGAGCCATAGAGTTGGGATGGCCCGGCCAGGCTGGGTGTGGGGTCTGTTGGGGATCCCAGGTGAGGGGAAGGAATTGGGAGTGGACCTGGGCCCGAGGCAGGTTGGGTGGCTGGTGCAAGGCAGAGGGCTGGCCCCGGGGGCATTCTGTCCTGGTTCCTCTGTCCCCTCACCCAGTTCGTGAGCATCCCTCGTGGAGCAGGCCCCAGGGAGATCACGGGCGGCGGGTGGGCAGATGGAGTGCAATATCCCCCAAGGAAAGTGTGTTGTGAGGTGGTGGAGGGCAGGGCCGGAGAGGCCCCAGCTGTGGAGCAGGACGCTGGAGGGCTCAGGGCAGCCGAGCCAGGGCCCGGGGCAGCCGCAAAGTGGCACTGTGTTCTTTTGGGCCGGACCAGAGCCCAGGCAGTGTCAGGAGGTGGATGGTGTGGAAGAGAGAGGAGTTCCAGGGGCGCACTGGGGGGCCCTCTGTGTGGCTGGAAGGTGGAGGGGCGCTGGGTGGAAGGGCTGGCTTCGGGCTGGCGGCTTGGGCTAAGGCAGGCTTGCAGGGGCTGGCTCCTGAACCCACGCATGGCGAGAAGTATGGGCTGGAGCGGCCACAGCATTGGGGAAAGACAGATGGGAGGGCTGGACAGGAAGCAGGGCTGTGGCCAGGCCGGGGCCCCGGGAGGACAGGGACGAGTGGTGGACGTGAGGGTGCAGAGGAGCAAAGTCCAGGACTTGGCCCGGATCGGGATGCTCAGGAGGCTGGGGATGCTCGGAGGAAAGCAATGGGGGAGCCCGGCTGCCTGCCCCACCCCTGCCACCCTCAGCTCCTTCTGCCCGCCAGGACTCCCAGGCTCCATCAGGTGCCGCAGCACCCTGGCTGCGACATAACGAGGTGGGACAGGGTCAGCAAGGTGACTTCTCGTGCCCCAGTGTTTGCAAATCCCCAAAATGACCCAACAGACAAGCTCGAGGCTGGATTTTCCAAGAGGGCCCCTTCAAGTACCAAAGGACACAAAGAGCAGGCCCTTCTGAGTCTGCGGCCCACAGATGGCAACACGGGCCCCGGACCCCAGGACCACCTTGGGCACAGAGCGGCTGGGCCCAGGAGGCTGGCCTCTCCCGGGGATCCCACGGCTGGCCTGCGGGGCTGCAGCAAACACGTGCAGGGCTTTCCAGAGCCCCGCACAGAACAAAGAACAAAATGGGGAGAGCAGGGCCTGGGCTGAACGGACCACGGGCGGGTGGGCGGAGGGGCACAGCGGCATGGCACCCACTGCCAGGCCGAGGGCAGCTGCAGGGGGCTGGGCTGGAGCAGACCCGGGGTGGGGGTGGGGGCTGGAGGAGGCTCTCACGGCCGGAATCAATAACTCACACTGGGGGAGGGCGGGAGACGCTTGTGGCGGAGCGGGGAGGGGGTGCCGGACAGGGTGTCCCTCCACCCCCAAGTTCAAAGTTTTATGGCGAGCAGGCTTGACTTCCTCCCGCGTCCCTCCTCTCCAGGTGTTATTTGAAAAAAATACTTTTCAAACTACATGCTGAAAACTTCAGCATGAAAATTTAATGTCAGAAACTCTGTAATCTCTTTCCCAGAGATAAGACCCAGCCCCTCGAGGAGGGGCGAACTCGATCCCTCTAACACAGAAAGCAGACGCCAGGCCGGGAAGGCAGGGGCCTGGCGGCCTCACTGGGGGAGGCTCAGGCTCACGCTCCCTCCCTCCCTCCCACCCGCGGCTGGGAGGGGGTGACTGAGAGAGGCCCTGCAGGGCTGGAGCTGCAGGGCTGGGGCGAGGGGTCCGGCAGGAGGGGCCGTCCTAGTGCAGCCTGCAGGCTTCGGGCCTTCGGGAAGCACATCCTGCCGCTCTCCCGCGTGCACCCCGCTCCCCGGAACTTGGAGTGGGTGCCGCTGCTGCCAAGGCTCGGGTTTCCATGACGGCTGAGGCCCCTGGCCCTCTCACTCAGACCCTAACTTAGGCCTCGCTGAGGGCTCAGGTTGTGGACAGCTAAGCTGGGGAAGGACAACGTGGCCACCACCGCCCACGGCCTTTCTGACCGGCAGCGCCGCCCTGGGTTGGGTGGCGGGGGCGTCCTGCACACACGACTCCTGAGGTCAAGCCTGGGTGTGGGGGTCTTGGACTCTGAGCTGCCAGGCCCGCCGGGTCCTGGCCTCAGGGAGAGGGGAACGGAGCTGCCACACACCCGGCTCTTGACTCGATTTCTCTGTGGGGGACAGACATAACTTCTCCAAGCTGTTTCCAACAGCCCCCACCCTGAAGACGGCCTCCACCTCAGACATCAGACAACGCCCCGAGCCCCCCCTGCCCAGGGCCGGGAGGGCAGGCTGCCCGGAAGGAGGGTGGGGCTGCCCGGGGGCTGGGTGTGCGCTCCAGACCTGTGTTCTGGGACTGCATTCCGGGGGAGGGGGTGGTGGGAAGGCGCCATGTGGAGCAAACCGGCTGGGCTGGGGGCAGGAGGCCCCCCAAGCGGGGAGAGGGAGGCGTCCGACCGACCGCACTGCTCTGCTGCCCCCACCAGGCAGGCCGAGGCCGGCATCCCCGGAGACCGGGACCTGGTGGCCCAGCCCAGCACTCCTGAATGAGCCTGAGGCCCCCGTGTCCTGAGAGGCAGGGGGCTCCCTCCTTTGTAGCGGAAGGAGACAGAGGCCTCCTAAAGGGGCCGGACGCCTGCCCAAGGCGCTAGTCGCCTGGAAGCTCCCAGAATGTGGGTGTGGGAGAGGCCAAACTGCTTTCTCCCCAAACCCCAAAATCCTGGGTGACCCTGAACCCGGGCCTGGGCACTTGGCCCTGTCTGCCCAAGCCCCCTACCGGCCCCCCCATGTGCTTTGCGTGGTCCGAGCCCAGCGGGTGGGGCAGGGCTGGCTTGAGGCTGCCGAGAGGGTTTCTCCCCAACCGTCCTGCCCCCTCCAGGGGACATGCAGAGCCAGACTGGTCTGTTGTCCTGTGTTTGCCTGCCTCTCCCGGTGTTGCCGTGGTGATGACACACCAGGCATGGCTGGGAGGGGTCATACCTCAGGCAGACCAAGAGTCCTGCGTGTCCACCACAGACGGCACCCCCTCAGGATGCCCACGCCCTGGCCCCCGGCTCCCAGGCCTTGTCGAGAATGTTCCATGAGCCTGACGGACAGGCACGAGGTCCAGCGTGTGAGGCCCAGGCCGCTGCTCCGGCGCCTGCCCTTGCATCCCCACAGCACCCCGCCCAGCCACCCTATCTGTCCTCGGGGTCCCCCCAGCCGTCTCAGGTCCAGGCTGCTGGGTGTGAGAAGCGCCCTGGGTTTCTGCTGTGTCCCTGCCCCCTGACGAGGAGCGCTTCTCTTCCTGCACCCACAGCCCCACACAGCCCCTCCACGCCCCAGGGTCCCCCAGCCAACCCAGCGTCCTATCTGCTGCTTGCAGCTGAGCCTGCGGCGGGGGACCCCAGGCAAATATGAGGAAGCCTGGGCAGAAGGTGGCCCCTGCAGAAGCTGCTGCCCACGTGCCCCCGCCCCATGCTGCCAGGAGAGGCTCGGACCTCAACAACTTGGGAGTGGCAGAAATGGTCTCTGCATGACCAGTGCGGCCCCTTCTTAGCCCCTTCCTGGGGCTTCCGGAGGGCCTAGCAGCTTCCCTGGCTGGGGGCTGAGGGGCCTCCGGGCGGCGACTCTTGGAAAAGCCTGAGGTCAGAAGAGTTCAGAAACGGCCGTGCTGGCTGGGTCCTCTTGACTGATGTGGACAACTGTGTCCCATCTCCCTGAGCTATTTCTGTTTTCGCAGGAGTCAGGGGAGGGCTGGAACTCCGGCTTCCCGGCATCCCGGCGGGCAACCAGATACCCTCAGATAAAGGGCATTCCTGCAGGCCTTCATCACGCTCCCCGGGCAGCTGCTGGCCCCTCACCCTGCACAAGTGGGCACGTCCTCCCTGAGCCCCGAGGGAGGCTCGGAACACATAGTTTCCCTGTTATGTACCAGCTGAGGGGCCCGGTGGATTTAGCTGGGGTGAGGCCCAGGGGCCCAGGCGAGCAGGGGATGTTCTCGTAGGGAGGACAGGGCTGAGATGGGAAGAGCAGCTGGTCCTAAGCCCCACAGGGCCCCCCCACAGGGTCCCCTCAGGGCCCCGAGCCTGGGTTTTATTTTGGGAGGCACCTTCTAGAGTGTAAGCTGCCTCATCCCGCGGGCACGCGTGGGGTCGCCCAGGACCTAGGGGATCCTTCAGCCGGCTGTCCAGCTCCGGGACTCTGGGTTCCCGGGAACCCTTGGGGGCTGATGTTCTGAGCATGTTTGCTCCGCAGTGTTCTCAGCCACACCTGCACCCTAGCAGGATGCCAGAGGGCTTTTCCCAGACTTCAGAGCTGAGGCCCGGGCCTGGCGGGCGCCCCCTCCTCCAGCAGGACGGGAACCAACCATTCACTCAAGCCACGAGCACCCCACGGGCTGCCCTGAAGAGCTGTTGGGAGGAGAGGGTCCATGATCCCAGGCTCTGAAGACCTCTGTGCCCAGCAGCGGGGCCTCTGGAGGGTGAGGAGGGATGCGTATCAGGAGCAGTCCATTGCCGGCTGGTGGGGTTTGTTTTGTTAAACCGAAAGAAAAACAGCAGCAGCAGCACAGAGCCCCGGGGCAGCTGACCTCCTGAAGCCAGGCAGGGTGCCTGGGCAGGGCCCCAAAACCACAGAGGAGCCCCAGCCAGCCCTCTGGGGAGCAGGGTCAGGCACCCCGACAGAGGGTGACCAGGACACACGACCCGGCGGCCCTGCAGCCCCCCAGCACCTCCTCACTGGGGACCAGCCTGTCGGCAGGAGGCAGCCCTGGGGGTCGGGGACACAGTCCCAAGGAAGGCTAGGACCTGGAACGCTCCTTAAGGGGTGAGACACCCCTGGGGGGCAGAGCTAGGCCCTGACCAGGGTGGGGACTGCGGAGGAGCTGAGCTGGCTCCAATCGGTGCATGGCTGGCTGTCTAGGGGCAGCACAGAGGGAGGTCCCATCCCAGGCCAGCAGTGGCAATGCCATCTCTGAAAAACGGTCCGTGCCATGAGGCCTGAGCCTCCGGTGCCCTTGCCTGGCATGCTCTGCCACACCGTGGCCGCGTGAGGGACAGACAGCGCGGGACAGAATCCCACCTGGCAGGGAGGTGGCAGGCTTGCCATGTGCCAGCAGGCACCGGGGGAGGAGGGGCTGGGTATCGGGGGCGGGGACCCTCAGGGCGAAGCTCGATGTTAGGCGGGCTTCTTCTGGAGGGCCGTGTCTCCTGGGCAAGCATTATCATCTCCACGTTTTATTTTATTATATTATTATTTATGTATTTATTGAAACAGAGTCTTGCTCTGTCACCCAGGGTGGAGTGCAGTGGTGCAACCTCCACCTTCCAGGTTCAAGTGATTCTCCTACCTCAGCCTCCCGAGTAGCTGGGATTACAGGCGCCCACCACCACACCTGGCTAATTTTTGTATTTTTAGTAGAGACAGGGTTTCTCCATGTTGGCCAGGCTGGTCTCGAACTCTTGGACTCAAGTGATCCACCCACCTCAGCCTCCCAAAGTGCTGGGATTACAGGCATGAGCCACTGCATCTGGCCTCGTCTCCACATTTTAGACAAATCAAGACAAAGTGACAGCCAGGGGCCTCAGGCTTGCAAGGCAGCAGCTCAAAGTGGAAACCCGGACTCCTGGCCCCTCACCCAGGCCGCACACCCACAGCCAGGCCTCCCTCCCAGAAGCCGCCACCAGGCCTGCTCCGGGGCCCCAGCTTCCTGTGCTCCCGGTCCAGGCGGTGGCCATTGTCTGCCAGCCATTAGGAACCAGCTGGGGGAAGTGCCATGCCCCAGCCCCTGGGCAGCCCATGTGTCCCTCCTACACCCGCGGGCAGGGCCCTCGAGTCCCAGGTCCCAGTGGCCAGCCATCGGTCCTCTCACTAACCGCAGGATGGCCACTGAAGGCCAGAAGGGTGGGGGCCTTGGGGGCTACCCGAAAATCTCTCCCACCATGGCCCAGGCCCATGGGCGTTCTGTGGCTCCAGCCTGTGGCTCGGGGTGGGCGGTTGGGGGGCTGGGTTTTCTGACCCCGGTGGTGGTGAATGAACAGCAGAGCCCCATCTACGCCCCCGGCCTGCCGGCTCGCTGGCCTTCCTAATGAGCGTGTGTTTCCAGAGCCCTTTGATCTGGGGCTTTAATGACCATCCCCTACCGAGGAGCCACCAATCAATGGGTCCGCCCCCTCCCCAGTGTGTGCACAACCAAAGCCGGGCTTATCCAGGCCCCCTGACCGGCAGCCCTGAGGCTGAGGGCTCCCACTCCCGCCCGGGGTCACCAGGATGTTCTCAGGTGGCATTCCAGGTGGGACGAGCCCAGCTCCTCCTCAATGCCTCGATGCCCACGGCCAGGCCCAGCTGCCCTGGGGTCATCTGGGCACCTCCTGGCCCATGATGGGGGAGGGAGTGGCCGAGCTGTGCTGGCTCCCACCTTCGGGCACCGGGGGGTCTGCTCGGAACATGGAAAGAAGACAAGACATGGCCTCAGCTCTGACTCAGGGCATGGGAGCAGCCTGCGCTTCACACGGTCGGTCCCCCACTCTGCTTGGGGGGCCCTCCTCCCGAGCTCCATCCTGGGTGGGCCAGGGCCCTCTCCCCGTGGGGTCTCCAAGCCCCAACACTCGGCCCGCAGTGTTCGGCGGGTGTGCCATCCATACTGTCCTGCTGGCAGAAGCCGTGCCCTCCGCTGGCCCTGAGGAGACCGCTGCTGCTGTTCCCGCCACTGGGGACACCCTGACTACCAAGCGTAGTTAACAAAGTGGGGGGCGCAACAGGCTGTGTCTCCAATGTGGCGATGGGGGGACCCACGCTGTCCCTGCCGACGGGGAGGCGAGGGCCGCAGGGCAAGGCGGGAGCCCCAGCGGGGACTGCAGGGGTCCAGCTCTTTGGGGCCACCCTTCCCCCAGGGCACCCCTCACTCGCGCCCACGCACGCGCAGACGGGAAATGAGACCTGCGAGGCCGGGCTCGGCCCTCCCCCTCTCTGGCAGCAGGCATGGGGTTTTATGAGTGCTACAAATCAGATATCACACAGTTTGGGGCTGACATGGTTTTTGCAAGAATTATTTAAGGCCCTGGCCGCCGGTAAAGTCCCAGGGAGAACGGGGCAGGGCGCACCCAGCTGCTGGGGCCGTCGGAATTCCAAACACTTCGTAAAGCTAAGGTATGAGCCGCGAGCACCTTGTTCTGTTTAACAGGCTGCTTCACCCCTGCCCTGGGCCGCGCGAGGGCTGCCGGGAACACCTCCCCCAGGCCAGGAGGAGGGGGCCGCCTGCAGCTGGGAAAGCTGGGGCCTGCCTGGGCGGCCCTGGCTCCAGGCTGAGAAGCTGAGAGGGAGTGAGTTGAAGGGTTGGCCCCGCTAGCATCTCCTCCCAACCCCGAAGCACTGCCCAGGGTCCTGCTGTCAACCCCACACACGGGGCCTGAGCCGCTCCTGGTGGTCTCCTGTGCTCCATCCTGGGCCCGGCTCGCTCCTCCTGGGGTCTGTGGCAAACTCTCGCAGGCCGGGACCATGCCCAGTGCCCACGCGCCGGGAGCACGGCGGTGTCCTCGCCTGGAATGGGCCTCACTCGGCATCTGTGACTGGTCAGTTCTGCCGGCCGAGCCTGCTGCTAACTGGGCCGTGTCACGGGCTCAGGCTGTCCTCTGGCTACTTCCCTGCTACTTCCCTTCAGTGGGCCCAGGCCAAGGCGGGGAGCGCAGATGTGCCCAATGTCACCACTGCCGGAGGAGGGACGGCCATGTGGGTGGCCCGGGGCACCCCAGGTACACCCCAGGAAGCTGCTCATGGGTACCCATTGGTGAGGAGGGTGCAGGGGGAGGCACACGCCAATTCATCAACCTCAGGGATGCGTTCAGGTTTCTATCCTGGGATATTTGAGCACTTCCATAATTATCCAAATACCAGTGGCGTCTCGTACTGACAGACAATGGCACCCTTCCTTCTGCGATCAGTGCTAAAACCCACGACACTGTCATCACGCAGAGTGCTGAGCAACCGCGCTGAGAATACGGGACGCACGGACACGAAGCCCTCCCAGTGAACCTGTGGGAAGGAGGCGAGCAGCATCGCGTGACCGGGACTGGCCCGGCTAAGGGGGCTCTGCAGAGCAGGGCCATGGGCTCCCCAATCTGGAGGGGAGGCTGCTCACTCATTACCTGGCCTCTCCACCCACTGAGTGCCCTGAACCAGGCCTCTGCCTCAGGGGTGCCCTCAGGGGAACTCAGAGGACTGTGCAAAGGTGGGCTTCGAGTCCCTGACGCTGCGTGGAGGGCCTCTGCCGTGCGGATGCCAGGCAGGAAGGAGTGGAGAAGCAGGAAGGGGCGTTACTGTCGGACCCAACGGGCCCATCCCTTTCCAGCCCCCAACTTCCCTGGGGTGACGGGGCCTGGACCTGTGGACCCCTGTCTCTGCGGGAAATGTTTGCTGCAGGTCCCACGGCTGCACCCTCCTGGGACAGGCTGCGGACCCTGCACATCTGAGCTTCTATGAATTCCATGTAGAATTCCATGGGATTTCTGGAATCTTCTGTCTCATGTCTCTCAGTGAGGGAGGATGGCAAAGAACGTCAGAGGGAAGGATGGGGTAGCGGCTCTGTCCTGGGCCTGAGGGACGTCTCTGAAGGCCAGCGCCCCCAGCCTCCCACCATGGGCGCCCCAGAGCAGGGGTCACTCTAGCCATGGGGTGAGCCCCCTAGGGTCTCAGCTTTGCAGAGCTGGGCCCAGGCCAAGGCAAGGAGTGCAGATGTGAGGGGGAGAACGGTGGGGGGTCTCCCACCCTCTCGCAGAGCTGGCTTTGTGCAGGGAGAATGCAGGCCTGGCCGGCCCTCCCCATTGGACACAGCGTCAGGGCCCCAGCGTCCACGGAGGCCAGGGCCAATCAAAGCCAGATGTCGGAGAAACAAGAAAAGCTGACTATTTTGACTAGAAAAAGCCCTATTTACAAAGAAATAATGAAGCGATTTGGGGGGACTGGTGCTGGGGATGATCTCAGACAGGGTGGGGTGGTGAACGCAGATGCCCAACAGGTCACTCAGGGCCCGTGTGTCCCCACCCGGCATGGTGTGGTCTCAGGCCTCGCAGGGTGCGGCTCCTGACAGGCTGAGCTGGGTGGGAACCTTGAGGGACGTCCCCTCAGACACCCAGACCCAGGAAGCAGCCGTATCTGGAGGCGCAGGAGAGGCTGGAACACGGGGGCCCCAGCAGTCCTGTCCACCCGGCATGCCATGGCAAAGTGCAGCGTCCACTATGGAGAGCATCCTAGGGCAGGCGGAGGGGTGGAAATGTGGTCAAAGAGAAGAATTCTTGGCCTTGAAAGGACTCTTAGCCGGCTACGGAGATGAGACGGGCACTCACGTACACCGCAGCCCAGGCCCTGGCCACCACGCACAGGGCACTGCAGGCATCGTGCTTGCTCCCAGGGCCCCAAGACGCAAAGGCGACAATGCAGGGAATTCTGGGGGTGCGGAGCTGTGAGCGGTGCTGGAGACAGAGAGGCAGGGACCGAGGGTGCGGCACCTGGGGAGGAGGAGGACAGAGACACGAAGATGGCAGAGAATGACAGGGAAGGGAGCATGCACAAGGCGGCCAGAGCCCTGGGGCTGGGCACCTCGGTCCAACCCCTGAGCCCCAACCCGAGCCCCAGCCCGGGCCAAGCTCCCAGCGCCCTGCAGGAACCGCCTGGGGGCCAGCCCAAGAGCAACACGCCATCCGCATCCACGCCTCTCCCCAGCTTCCAGGCCACTCGGGAGCCCACCTGCGCCCCTCGTGAGAAGCAGCCCAGGAAGATGTCGCCTTCATGAGCACACCATCTGGAGCTCCACGGTAGGGACGTCTGTGGAGCCGGCCCCATCCCTCGGCCGCCCTCAGGCACCTCTAGAGCCTGGGACAGTCACTTCCTCAGTGAGGCTACAGCAGCCTCACATGCACACCCCAGGCAAGAAAATGCCCGATCCCTCCAAGAGAAACGGCAAGTTCACATCCACGTAAAAATGTGCACACACGTGTGCACCACAACCTTGCTCACGAGAGCCAAAAGGCGGAAGCCGCCACGTGTCCACTGATGGACGGCGGATGAACACGCGGACCGTTCACCCAGTGGAGCACGACTCAGCCACAGAGGGAAGGAGATCCTGGGGCAGGCTGCGACATGGGTGCGCCCTGAAGATGCCACACCAAGTGAAATAAGCCAGACACGAAAAGCCACACAGACCCTGAGTGGTTCACTCATGAAACATCCAGAACAGGCCAATCCAAAGCAGACCAGTCATAGCCAGGGGCAGAAGGGAGCAGGGAGCTGGGAGCTCCAGCTAAGGGGTGCACATTGCTTTCTGGGTGATGAAAATGTCCTAGTAGGCTACACAACTCTGGGAATATACTAGAAGCCATTGAGTGGGTGGATTTTAGGGTATGTGAACTTCATCTCAATAAAGCTGTTTTTTAAAAATAGAAAAGAGCATCCCAAGGCCAGTGCTCTCTCAGATCACTGCAGCCACAGGCCTCCTGCTCTGGGGGACCCCCCATGGCCAGGCAGGGATGCCAGGCGGTGCTCGGCTCACGCCACCTGCCCACTCAGCCAGGCCCTGGCCAGGAGCACCCACCAAAGCCCGAGGAAGAGGATGGCAGCCTGGCTTTCCCACCTGGCCAAGCTGACTTCCTGAATCGGGCACTCACTCACTCACTCGTTCACTCAGCTAATACGGCTGATGGTTGCAGGAAAGGTGGGAGGTGGGAGGGCAGTCCCAAGATGGCAGCCACTACAGCTACCTTCAAGGGGCTGGCCTTCTCCAGCCTGTCCTCACTTTAAGCCCTGGGGTGGACCAGGAGGAACCGCTGTGTCCCTGGCCTTCGTCCCCTGCTGGAGGCCAGAAGATGGGAACCCCCAGTGCAGACAGGCAACCGCGAATGTGACTTCAGGTTCTAGACTGCAGAGGCATGTGTTGGCTTGAGGCAGAGGGGCCCAAGGAGGTGGGTGGGGGCAGGATGGGGCAGAGGAGGAGCCCAGGGAGCCAGGGACAGGAAGAGCCCACTCCTGCCCCAGCACCTGGCTGCTCATCTGCCACCAGGTACGGAAGTGATGCCATAGATGGGACACTATCAAGCCGCCCCAGGAACACTGCCAGCTCCCAAAGAGGAGAACCAGATGCCCCAGATGCCCTCAGGAGGCATCTGGAGGCGCAGGAGAGGCTGGAACACGGGGGCCCCAGCAGTCCTGTCCACCCGGCATGCCATGGCAAAGTGCAGCGTCCACTATGGAGAGCGTCTTAGGGCAGGCGGAGGGGTGGAAATATGGTCAAAGAGAAGAATTCTTGGCCTTGAAAGAACTCTTAGCCGGTTAGGGAGATGAGACGGGCACTCACGTACACCGCAGCCCAGGCCCTGGCCACCACGCACAGGGCACTGCAGGCATCTCTGCAGGGCCCCAAGACGCAGAGACGACAATGCAGGGAATTCTGGGGGTGCGGAGCTGTGAGCGGTGCTGGAGATAGAGAGGAGGGGACCGAGGGTGCGGCACCTGGGGAGGAGGAGGACAGAAGACAGAGGGGTTTCTGCTCCATTCCGGCAGCTTGGCTCTTACCTGGAGCTGCCAGGGCATGGGCTCCTGTGGGCCGTAGAGCTGGGCCCATCATGGCTATAAACTCATCAGCATAGAGAAGTGGGGCCGTCCAGCTATGAGCACAGCCCGGTGCGGTCCCGAGGGCCCTCCACCCCTTCCCATGCACGCAGCATGGCACTGCCTGGGCCTTGCATCACCCCTGCATGGCAATAAATGAACATGAATGGGGACACGGAGCAGCGCTGTCGGCTCTCTCCCTCGTCCTGTTGCCTTTGTCTCTGGCTGTCCCCGACCCTGCTCCCAGCTGGAGATGTCCACGAGGGGAAGGGCTGTCATGTTGGGGGCGACCGAGGCAAGGCCGCGGGCCCACTTGCTATCTCTTGGGTCAGGGTCCCTCTCCCACTCCTGCCACGCTGAGGATGTCCAGACACAGGCGGGAGTGGTCCTGTCAGCCTTGGGAGATGCATCTTTCCGGGCGAGTTCCTTCTGCAGGAACAGCCTGTTTGGGTTGGACAGGGGTCTTGCCCAGGTGTGGGGGTGGTGAGGTTGACGCCCGGGCCGGAGGGGCCCTGTGAGACCCTCTCTGGTCCCCATGCATGAAAGAGCCTGTGTGAGCACATGCGCCACGACAGTGGGCCCTCGTACTGGGGAAAAGACAGACCTGCCCAGGTGCTGCTCCCTCCCTCCCTGAGCCTCCAGGCAGGAGCGGGTCACGGGAGCTGGCGCGTCCAGCCGGTCCCTTCTGTGGGCTGTGTGTGTGCCTGAGGTGGTGGGAGCAGACCCCCAGCTGAACCCGAGCATCCCACTCCACCCAGGGCCCTTCCTGTGGGCCCTCCCCGCACAGCCCTGGTTGGCTACCCCAAGCTCAGCTCCATGGGTGCGGCACGCAGGGCTCTTGGAGAGGCCAAGCCTTCCAGACCCTGAGTGGGGCCGCCTGCCCACCCCGGCCTGCTCCGCGCTCCTCTGCAGCAGGCATGTGAGGTGGGTGTGGATGCTTTGGGGAAGACTACCCAGTGACATGGCTAGGTCATGCCACACGCGGCTGGGACAGATACCCGGGGGCCTCAGTTCTGACACCCGGCTCAGACCAGAAACCATTGGTCAAGTCAACGACCCAGAAAGTGGGGTCTTGTGTGAATCACCCACCCCCGCCGAGGACTGGCAGCCCTGTTTCTCACGCTGGACCGCCACACGCCCGTCCCTATCCCCCATTCTTCAAGAAATGCGCCCAGCCTCACCCCGTGCTCATCCCCGCATTTTGGTCTTGCCTCCATCTGGGCACCCCCTGGGACTGGGCCCAGGCCACGCACTTGGCAGGCCCCTGAGGCTATTATCTCCCCTAAGGCCCGGCCCTCAGCCAGCCCCTTACCGGGGTCAGTGGGCTGCCATGCAGAAGGATGCCCAGTGACGACTGGGGAGTGAGGGAGCCCCTGGTGTGCTGTGGAGATGGGGGTGCAGTAGCTCCCCAGCCCCTTTCTCCTCCCTGGCAGGGAGGCCTGTGGGAGACATGGGGGCTGCGACGGGACAGCACAGGCCGGGGTGAGACAGGGCGGGAGGAGGATCTGGAGGCCGGGGCGGCTGGAGCCGGAGTCAGGGCTGCGTCTGGGGGTGGCGGCCGTGATGGAGTGTGCCTGGTGCGCTGGCCGCCAGCAGGGCTGCTAACGGCCCCTGTGTGCGGGGCTGGACGTGCCGTGGATGAAGGATGGGATTCCTCTTCCCCTGCCGTGAGTTAGGGTCCTCAGAGCTCTAGGCCCCATGAATTATTTCTCTAAGGAAAACACAGTTGACTCCATTTCTCCGGCTCTACTTCCTGACCTTCCCCATCCCTTTAAATCAACACTGAAGGGTGAGCTTGCCCGGGCCTTCACCCCCTAGCCGAACACTTCCCCCGCCACACCCCCTCCTGCCTGCACTCCGGGCTGGGGGAGGGGAGGCTGAGCCAGCTGCCACGCCATCTCCTCTTGCAAGACCCTCGGAAGGCTGCCCAAGCAGAAGGAAAAGCCAGGACCCTCACTCAGACCACAACAGGCCCACGCTGCAGATCAGGGTTGGTCCCAAGGCCACGTGACACCTGTGTTCTTCTGAGCATTCGCATGGGGAGGCTTACACGGCAAACCCAACTTCGTGCAAGAAAGCCGCGCCGTGGGCTTTCCCCCAGACGCCCGAGTGCGGCTCCGTCCTGGTCAGGGTGGAGCGCAGATGGCTCCCGACGTACACGTGGGCCCTGGTTTTGATTCCCAACCCCAAAGCCGGAGCTGCCCGCACACAGCAGGGAGGGGGCCTTGCTCTGGCCTCCATGTTGGATTTTCTCGGGAAGCACTGGAACCAAGGACAGACTAAGAAAAACAGAGGGGCCCCCAGGCCTCTGCAACCCGTCCTGAGGACGCACCAGCTGCCGCATGGAGACGGGGCCAGAAGGGGCTCTGGAGGCCCTGGGCCTCACCAGATGCAGGGGTTCTGGGAAGAGGGGCTGGAAACCTTCCGGGCTCCTTGGAAGGTTCTGAATAAGACATCATTAAAACCAAAAATCAATTCTGTATCCAGCTCAGGGCCCCCTGGAGGCTGCCCCGGCTGGCCTGTCCAGCTTTGCTGGAACGGGAACCCAGGCCAGTCTGCCAGGTTCAGGCCCCAAAAACGGCGGCCGGGCAACCCCCTTTTGCTCCCACAGGCCAGGCCAGGCTAGGAGAGGCAGCACAGAGCCTCTGGCAGGGCCACAGGCTTCCACGCAGAACCCTTTAGACAAGAATCAGAGCAGGGGCCGTGCGTCCTGACCTGCCCTGGGCCGACAGAACAAGGGTCTAGACCCAGGCATCCACCCAGACACTGCGAGGCCACTGGGCACCTCCAACAGGATGCTCAAGCCCACCCTCTCCTCTCTCGACCTGTCCACCCCCAGGGCCGAGAAGCCCACAGAACTGTTTTGCAGTGGTTGCTGGCCACACCTTGCCCCCTGCCCTAACCACCTTTCCAGGCTGGGTCCTCCCTGTCCCCTAGGCCCAGCCCCGGGCCTGTGCCCGACGGCACCTCTCCGCCCGACGGCACCTCTCCGCCATGGCTCTCCTGAGACACTGCTGCCCTCGGATCCCTTCCCGGCCCTTCTCGGGTTCTTGCTGCCAACAGTGCCAAACCGAAACCCACAGGCGGGCCGGAGTTCCCTCACCAGGCCCCCTGAGGGCTGCTGCCCTGGCAGCCCCTCCCCAGAACTTCTGTCCAGGCCAGGCCGTTCTCTCACCCGGCGCCGCCCCGTGCTCACGCTGACCCCTCCATTCCTCCCGACGCCTCTGGGCTCAGGCTCTGAATGTGGGCGCTCAGAACTATCTTCTGGGTCTTTTCACCTGCGTGTCTCATTCCCCACCTGGCATGCAGCTCCGAGCCTGTGTGTGGCCCTCTCTGGCCAACCCGCCTCCCCAGCATGGGGCCACGTCTCAAGTCTGCCCACCCTCAGTTCCCCGTCAACTCAGAGACCAGACCCCGGCCGCGCCCACTGCCCAGACCCTGGGAAAGCGGAGCCAGGCCACGTGGCGCTCAGAGCTGGGGGGTGGCTGCTGCGTGTCTGGCACCCAGAGACCCAAGAGAAGAAGGAAGCAGAGCTTCCGGCTCTTTCTCCTGCAGCAAGACTTTTATTTAGGTGTCGGGACTGCTCTGCCACAGCTGCCCACCTGGGGCGCGTCCCTGCTGGCCGCCCCGTCACGGCCCGAACCAGCTGGGGATGCCGCCCCGCCGCGGGTCGCTGCTCTGCCACAGCTGCCCACCTGGGGCGCGTCCCTGCTGGCCACCCCGTCACAGCCCGAACCAGCTGGGGACGCCGCCCCGCCGCGGGTCGCTGCTCTGCCTCTGCTGCCTCTCCTCCTCGAGCATGCTGTAGAGGTCGTCGGCAGCGCTGCCTTCAGGGCTCTCGTCTTTCTCGGGAAACAGATCTGGGAACGTGAAGGTCTGTCCATGGGCCTAAGGGGGAGAACAAAGGCTCCAGCCAGAGCTGCAAAGACTCCTCAGCAGAGGGGTCTGTGGGGGAGCCTCATGCTTTCTGGCAGCCCCTTTCTGCCGGCGCCGGATTCAACTGCTCAGAGGTACCTCCCTGGGCCTCCTGGGGCAGCGTCCCTGCCTGGAATGTAAGCACCCCCACGGCCACCGGCCCCCGGCTGTCACGCTGCAGCAGAGGCCACAGCTCCAGGACAGGGCCGCTTTCCCCACCATTGTCTCTTTAGGGCCTGGTGTCTGCCCCCGCCCTGGGTGCACCCATTTACTAGCACGGGGCCACCTGGTTGGTGGGGGGCAGAAACAAGGCATGGAAAAACATGACACAAATCACGTCTGGTACCATGCTGAACCTGTCCATCCAAAATGCCTCAGGCTCTACTCACATTAAAGCTCCCCCTCCTCCCAGCCCAGAGCCTGGCAATTAAAGTGAACATCACGTACGAAGAAACATGCACGTGCGGCAGTTGATAAATCAGGACCGGCTCTGCCAATTAACTGGTCTTACATCTTCTGCTGAGAGTTCAGAATATGTCCGTGTCAGCCAAGCCCCAGCCCAGGCCACAGCATGTGGCTCGGGTTCACGAGAAGGAGGGGATACTGCTCCTTGGGGACCTAAGCAAATACAAGAAGCCATCTTAACTTGCTAATGATTACTAAGTGCTCCAAAGCTAAGAGGCAGAAAGAGCAGACCAGAGGAGAGGGAAGAGAAGAGGGAGGAGGAGTGAGGATGGCACCCGAATCTGGAACCCTTTAGTGAGTAAAATCAGTCAGGTACACTTGGCTCTTGCAGACCCTTTGTGTGTAAATAAATCTGGATGTGGGCAGGCAGCCAAGTATGATCTGAAACAGGCCCAGATCCCACCCTGCGAGGGAGGTGTATGCACCCTGATCCCTGGCGCAGAGCGCAGGGGCTGGCGGGGAGAGTGGCACTGCGTGCGCCGTAGCCGGCCTGCAGGAGGATTGCCTTACACAGCTCTGAACTTTGCGTCTTTTAAAATACCAAGGGGCAGTCGTTTACACGTGAGGCTGACTGCCCAGAATGGGAGATTCACCTTGACTATATGGAGGTGATTCTGCTAGTTTTCCGAGGCAAGGGGAACCCAAAATGACAGTTTAAAGCACAAACATGGCCATTTGTCACAGCTTCGGGAAGAAATGGGGAAAGGTGCTGAGAGAAAATCCGTTTCTTACAGGAGACAAACACCGTTTGGGGATGCCAAGCATGGTTTCCCAGGGGCTTCCCCTTTCTAGAAGAGTTCACCTTGTACCTAAAAAAAAAAAGCCCTTGATCCTTCCAAAAAGGAGAGAGACAGCTGATCGGGGTAAAGAACAGGAATGGAGAAAAATGTCCCAATGACAAGTAAACAAGGCAGCCCTGCCTTCAGGAATCCCAGGGCGCCCTGGGGGCTGCCGCCTGCCTGGACCTGGAGGCCGGAGCCCCGAGCACGGAGCTCGGCCCAGCTGGCGGCAGCGGTTTGTTCTGGAGTTGCCTCTCATGTCGTGCGCCCTTCATTCCTGCGCGCCCTTCATTCCCGCGCTGCTCAGCATCCACACAAGCCTCGGGGCAGCGGGCAGTCAATGGTCTTTTTGTTGTGTGGGTCACTGAGGCGCTGCTTTCAGCTCCCAGGACTTTGGGCCAAGGAGATGCTTATCAGGTTGTCGGAGAAAGAAATGTGGGACTCCCGCCACGTGGGACAGGGCCTTTCCACAGCGGCCAACTCCAAATAACGTGGATAATTTTACCTTTCCAATGCTCCCTCCCTGGGCTTTGCAATTAGCAGTGATTCTAAGCCCTGGCGCAGGGCCCAGGGGGACACGCTGAGCAAGGTCTCAGCAGACACGAGACAGGAAAGGGCCTTGAGAGTCCCCTCTGCGGGCAGACAGGGACCAACGGCCACGGCCCATTTCTAGGCTGTGCAAAGATGTGCTGGAGTTCAGGAAGGGGGGTGAGGACCCGTTACAAATTTTCATTCTGGAACAGGAGGATCCATGCCCAACTGGGACCCTTCAGGCTCCCAGTTGCCCTGCCCTGTCTCTGGCTGCCTGGACTTCACAGAGGGAGAACAACACGCGGGCAGCAGCTGCAGACACCGGATCCCGGAGCTGCTGGGTTCAGTTTTCATGGGAGGTGGGGCCCAGAGGAAGAACGCAAGGGCTCGGATGACTTGAATGCCACTTGTAACCGTAGCTGCCTCTGAAGTGCCCGTGGCGGTGCCGGCACACGGGATGTCCACCCACATGCCATGACAAAGACAGATGGGCCCGACTGACACTGAGCACACAGAGGCCTTTATGAGGCCAACGGCTGCTCTCCCCACCTGGATTGGCTGATTTCATGCACAGCAAATATCAGGCCAAATTATTCCGGGGGCCCCTGTTTAGAACAACAAATGTGACTGTTTTTCAGAAAAGCTGCCATGCTAACTTGGCCTTTTTCACAAACTGCCTCCTTAGCCCCACAACAGGCCGGCTGGCCCAGGAGGCGGTTTCCACCATCGTGTGACTGCCATCTAGTGGCAGGGCCCGCCGGCTCGGCCTCCAGGGACCATTTACACCGGAAGACAACCCCATCCCCACCCAGTAAGGCCAGCCCCAGGGGCAGAGTGGGGAGGCCCAGGAGGCGGCCGGGGCAGGCTGTGGACATCTTGGCCCAGAGAGAAAGTGCCTCTGGGTTTGCCTGGGACTCAAAATGAAGAGCCCAAAGAAAGGCTTTGAAACTGTGGGTCTCACTCCTGACAAGTCTGGGTTTCAGAAACTGAAGGCCCAGGCAACGTGGGGTGAGGGTTCTTCCTCCCCAGAGCCCCCCAGGATACGTAAGAAAGCACCTGCTCAGAAGCAGCCTGCTGAGCCCTAACAAGTACGTGGGACCTGCTACCCTGCAATGCAGGACATGGGCCTCAGCCAACAGCCCGGCCAGCCAGACCTGCCTTGGCACCAAAGACCTTTGCCCTCAGGGGCCTCACACTCTGCCTCCGAGGCTGAAACCCAGCCAAGGACAGGCTCTCCAGAGGCCGGGGCCTCCCATGCTCTGACACCCTGGTGTGCGTTGGAGTTGAAACCCACTAGGCCTGTGATGGCTGCCTTTGCCCACAGAGAATTCAAACTTCAAAATCACAAAACGGCCGGACGCTGAGACGTGCCCCATGTGCCCCAGTGCTCACGTGCTCCCAGCGCCACCACTAACACCCCCAAGGCCGTGACGGAGCATGACCTTATGTGGAGCCTGCCTCTGCGCTGAGGCCCTGAGATCCGGCCTCACGGGGGCTCCCTGGGCCCCAGCGCAGCGTCTCCGGCACAAACATCCCCAAGGACACAGTTGCGAGGAGCCCCTCGGAGGCCCCGCTGGGGCTGGCCAGCTCACACGCACCAGCTGCACGTAGGCGACCTTGTAGTCCGGCTTCTTGATCCTCACGTTTCTGTGATCTCTTCTCTTGTTAGAGCCTGCCGGAAGGGAGTGAAAAAAAAATCAGAACTTTAAAAAAATCAGAACTTTAAAAAATTACATCCTCAGAGGTCAATGCCACTAAAACGAACCTCTGCTCTCTTAAAAATGTAAATATGTTTTTAAAAACTCAAAAAGGCGATTTCTCAGGGAAATGGGCACTGTAATCAAACGAGCCAGCACAGCAGGCTCCCAGGCTCCTCCCTTCTCCCAACAGAGGCCAGCAGGTTCTCAACAAAGGAGCGGACGTGGCACCAGCCAGGGCACACGACAGGGGCTTATGGAACAGACAGCGCTTTGCTCCCCAGCCTCAGCCACTGCAGTCCCACCTCGGGGGCTGACGGCAGGAGTCAGGGCTCAGAATGGACCCCGGGCCAGCCCAGTTGAATTCCAATCCCTGCTCTGGCACGTAAGCACCGTGTGACCCTGACAAGTCACCCTGTGCCTCAGTTTCCCATGAGCCACGTCAGACCAAGACCCCCATGCAGTAGCTGAGGCTGTGGCTCGGCGAGGTGGGCATGTGGCACAGATGGGCACGACACCAACAGGAGAACCTCCCATGGGCACTCACCATGCTGCACCCGTGTCCGCACAGCAGCCACGGGCACGTTATAGATGCCCTCGAGGTAATTCCTGAGGTCCACCCTTGTCATTCTGGAGGCGAAGGAGAAAGAAAACGGCATCTTAACCAGGCTAAAAGCCAAAAATACTGTCCCAGATGCACAAGCACCCGAGGCTGAGAGGCCGACAGACCAAGACCCACAGGGGGCAGGGAGGAGGGCTGGGTACATCAGCGGCACTAGTGAGGCCAGGCAGCCCCAGCAACACCAGTGCTGCTGGCTGCAAGACTCCCTACTCTGGGCACACCAGCATGGGGTGGCAGTGGCACAGACCCCACAGAGTGGGAGCACTGCCCAACCAACCCCTGGCCTGCTCCACAGCCCCACATGGCTCCCTGCTCCGGGCAAGTGCCTGTGAGAGGAGGTGACAGTCTCTGCACGCTCCTGGCTGGCAGGTGCCCCACCTCGTCTGCCCCGGGGCCCAGTGGCCGCATCAGGGTTAGGCCTGCTCTGCGGCTGATGGGACTGATGCGGTTCTAGGAAGTACCTTCTGGAAAGGCCTGCCTGGCATTCGGTGCGTTAACTGCAAGTTCCCTCTACTGCAGAACCTCACGGTCACTGTCAACTCAGCTTCTGGGCCCCTGCAGGCTGCACAGGCCTGACCTTCGCCCCCAGGGGAGCTCACGCTGCTGCCCCGCCTGGCTCGCATCAACCCTGAGCTGGGGACCTGTGAACTTAAACACTGCAGAGCAGCACCCCAGTTTTGCTCGTAGGGACTGTGCATTTCTCTGAAGGTCAAGCAGGCTCTTCTGAGCGGTTCTGTACATCACGGCCTGCTCCCAACCCAGCCTCTCAGGGCGCCTCTCCTAAAAAGAAGCTGCAAGAACTCAACAGAAGACGCGAGCACAGAGGTCCAAATTTTAAGGCTTCCAGTGAAGCCGTCCCCGGGTGGAGGGCGGCGTGCAGCCTGCCTGCCGGGCTCCACACCTACAGGCACTCCATCAATACTTGCCGGGCAGGGCCGCCTGAGGTGCCTTCCCAGCAGGAAGAGGCTAGCACGTGAGCAGAGTTGTTTTAACTCAGGACCCAGGCCCCCCTGAGGGCACTCTCCCAACCCAGCGGGAAAACTTCCGGGCTCACTCCACGGGGATCCCCCCGAGGGTGCTCCCCAACCCCAGCCGGAATCCTCCCGGACTCACTCCATGGGGATCCGGAACTGCACGGTGTCCTCGGGCTGGGCCACACCGGGCCGCACCAGCTGAATGAAGAAGTTGGTTCGGAACACCCGAAGTTGTGGGCCACCCAGCCGGTACAGGGGGTACCTGTACAGAAGAGATTGGGTCCATGTCACACACTTAGGCCAAGGCAGCCCGACACACCAACCCTGCAGACCTCCGAGTGTCCACTCACAACAGGGTGGGCAGAAAAGGGGGTAGCTAACACTGCGGATCCCTGAGTGTCCACTCCCAACAGTGGTGGGCGGGAAACGGGGTAGCTAACCCTGCAGACCCCCGCGTGTCCACTCCCAACAGTGGTGGGCGGGAAACAGGGTAGCTAACCCTGCAGACCCCCGCGTGTCCACTCACAACAGGGGTGGGCGGGAAACAGGGTAGCTAACCCTGCAGACCCCCGCGTGTCCACTCACAACAGGGGTGGGCGGGAAACGGGGTAGCTATCAGCAGGTCACCACCCAAGGACACAGAGGTCCCCACAGCCCCTTTCTCACATGGGCCTGCCAAGGTGGACGGCCAGTCCCTAGCATCGACTTAAGGAGCATGCGCTGTTGACCCCCAAGGTCAGACTTTAGAAAAGGCCAATGGACAAAAATCAGAACCCCGCAGACAGCATTCCCCCAATAAGCTGATGGCAAGGCTCAAAGACGTGTGTTGGGGCACTGATACCCCTGGGAGAGCAGACCCCACGCGGCCGGCCCACTCTCCTGCTGCTCGGGTGAAGTGGAGCTGCAGAGAACCACACACCATGGGACAGAAAAGGCCAGCTCCGCACTCTCCCGGTGGCAGCAGGGCCTAGCTCCTCGGTATGGAGAACGCAGGCTAACCAGGCTTAGGCTCCTGGAAGACGGTGCTGCCAAGACTCTGATTCAGTACACTAAATGTGAGTTGAGTGCACCACACCCCAGCACTCCACTAAAAGCCAGCAGAGGCAGATGGAGAGGTGCCAAGTGGCCACCGCAAACTAGACCAGCACGCTGCCTGGGCTGGGGGGCCAGGTGACGATCGTGCAGAATCTCTAGCCAGTTGGTTTCGTGCATTCTCCCACGTTCAGCTGGGTGGACAGGCAGCACCGTCCTACCGTCCCCCACCCCCGTTCCCGCCCCTGCCACTGCCGGCACACCCTGGCTCTATCTGGGCCTCAGAGCTGGGGGGAGGAGGGGCACAGGAGAAACTCAGGCCTGCTGGGTCTCGGGGGATGTGGGGTCTGAGAGCCTAGGTGCAGGTCTTGGTGGACGGGGAGCACAGGGGCTCTTGAGGGGTCTCTGGTGGCCTTATCTGAGGCACTGCACATGGCCCTGGCCTTGGGAGCACCCAGCACCAAGTTAAGAGGGGCTCCGTGAGGCCAACGCTGCCCCAGGCTTCACATGAATTTCACGCTGGCCTCTGCCTGTCTAGGGAAGATGAGGAGGAAGTGAGGGTCAGAGGCCTTGGGTGGGGTGTTCCTGAAGGGCCAACAGTGGTAGGCAGCACTGAGCCTCTGGGCCTGAGGGCCTGGCAGGGGCCAGGAGCTGCTGGGACCTCTCAGAGGCAAGGCGCCTGTAACAAAGCCCGATCACTAATCATGTCCACCCCAGGCCTCCTGATGACCACACTGACACATGGCAGCCTGGTGGCCGGGCCAGTGGGGCTGAGTCTTCACTCACCCAACCCCAGCAGAGCCTCCTCTTGGGCATGGCCTTGGCCTTTCCAAGCCTCAGAGTGCAGCCTTCAGGGGTGGGCCCCAGTGAGAGGCCGAGAAGAAAGGGTGGGCTCTGGAGGTGGAGGGGCCTGACTTGTTTTACCCACAGGTTCAGGCTAGCCATGGCCACCCGAGGGGCTCACACATTCCCTCTGGTGACCAGCTGTGGGACTGCAGGAGTGGAGACAAAGTTTGGGGACTCCCAGTAAACAGTAGAAAAGAGGGTTCAACAGCTCCCAGGCCATTAATTTTCGAGTCTCCAGGCTTGGGGCCTGAAGGGCACACTTTGCTAAGGGTCTGAAGGGCCATGTGTGGGCTTGAGATGAGAGGCTGGCAGGGGTTGGGCCAGGACGATTCACTGTCCTTGTTCCCACAGGCCGAGCCTCTCCAGGCTGGAGCGCCAGCTGCCTGTGCATGGAGCCTGCAGATCTGGAACAATCTGCACTGTCGACACCCAGGGCCCCAGGACAGGGCTCTAAGGCCTCTCTTTTGTTCTCGAACCCTTGTGGGCCCACCAGCCCTCAGTTCCCTCAGTCCCACTCTCCCCAGGGAGCACCCCAAGCACTCCGCATGGGATTTCACAAGCACCTCCACGGTAACCTATCTCAAGTAGAACTCTGCACTAACTTCTTCCTCAAAACACAAAAACCTGGCTCACTGCCACCAGCCTGCCTCCCCACGGCCCCACGAGTGACTCACCCAGGATCCCACCCTCTCGGCACCCCCACCCCAGCTGCATCCAGTCCACAGCAAGTCCAGTCAGCGCTCCCTGCAAAGGCTCCCTGGCAACAGGAGTGTGTGCACTGCTGGGCGAGCGGGCCCCGCTGCCTCCAAGGCAACCACACCTGATCCGTTTCCAGGGGCCCACCACCCTTGGCCCTTCAGGAACACCCCACCCGGGTCCTCTGACCCTCACTTCCTCCTCATTCTCCAGGGACAGGCGAAGGGCCAGCGTGGAATTCACGTGAGGCTCAGGGCAGTGTTGGCCTCACTCAGACCTTTTCTTCCTTGGTGCTGGGTGTTCCCCAAGGTCAGGGCCACGCGCAGCACCGGTCCCAGGTGTCTGCTGAAGGAAGCCTCCTCCACTGGGGGTCCCACCTGCCACCCTCCCCTCTCTCCCCAGCTATGTGCAGGGGCCTCCAAAGCCACACCCTGGCCCCTTGACCGTCCCTCTCCAGAAACACTGATTACTGTTCTCCAAAACCCACCCGGGAGCCCACATCTACTGATTACGCCTGAGTCATTCGTTCACCAAGAAATATGCAGGGCTTCCTGCTTCAATTTGGGGAGGGCGAAGTGGTGCAGGACAGCGCCCCGATGGCCCCCTGGGAATCCAGAGAACATGCAGAGTGGGCGTGGGGGGTCTGGGCTGAGCAGAACCGGGCCTCCCGCCCTGCCTGCCCCAAAGCCCTGAGGGCTGCGGTCAGCTGCCCTTTCCCACTCAAACCCAATCTGGATTCCCAGCTCCTCTGCCTCAGGCCGCGCCCGCGCTGCGGTGGGGGCCGCCCGGGCCTCCCCGCCTGGACCCAACAGCCGACGTGGCCCCCGCCCCGTGACGATCAGAAACGTCTCCAAACAGCTCCCTCGGCCCTGGCTGCGGGACCAGCCCCGGGCCTGACCCCGGGCCACCCTCCCACTCCCCACGCGGGGGCACCGTGGCCTCCATGGGTTTGGCTCGGACCCTCTGTCCCCAGCCCGGCCACGCCCGCCCCCTGGGGTTGCCCTAAACCTGGCGGGGGGCTCCTCCGCCACCCGCCTCGCGTGTCTCAAGGCATGACAGGGGGTCCCGGAGAACCCTGCCTCGCCCGGGCCAGGAGGCGGCCCAGGGACGCCCACCCCGCTCCCCGGAGTCCGCGCGCCCTGTGGGGTCCGTCTGCTTGTGACACTAAGGGGCGCCCCGCGACGGGGGGGTGACGACCCCTACTCACACCACATTCCGCGCCATGGCGGCCACGCGCGCTTCCGGGGTCCGCGAGGCGGAAGGAGCAGCGCGCCCGCCCCGCACGGCCGCCGCCTGGCACAGCGCCCCCTCGCTTCCGGAGGCCGCGCCGCCCCCCCCGCACGCGCCAGCGCCCGTGCCGCGCGCCCGTGCCGTCCCCAGCCCTGCGCCCGCCCCGCCCCGCGCCGCCTTCTTCTCCCTCCCTGCCCCCCTCCTGTCCCGCACCCCACGTTCCTCCCCGCCCCGACCCCCACTCCCCGCGCCGCAGACTCCACAGGACGCGGGGCCGCAGCAGTCCCGCCCCGCACTCCCGGCCCCACAGCCTGAAGCCCGGGCCCGCGCCCCTGCTGCTCGCGCCCCGCCCACGCCCGCACCCCTCCCAGCCCCAGAGACCTCCCGCCGCCGTCGCACTCTTTCGGGCCTGTCTGCCCTGCCTCCCGGGACCCCGGCCTGCACGCCCCCCACACCCGTGCCCCTGCCCTTTGGCAGCTCCAGGCCACAGCCTGGCCCCGCACCGCTGCGCTTGCAGCTGCTGGGAGCTGGAAGTGGAGAACCGGGGCTGTAGTGCTGGGGAGGGCGGGTCCCCGGGCCTGGGGTCTGAAGCCCCTCTCTCCATCTGGCTGTTTTTACCCGGGAGCCCGGAACCCCAGGGCCCCTCACCTCGCCCTTCTGGCCAGCCCGGTTGGCAGCCCCCACGCTGGCCACACCAGCCACGCTGTCCATCCTCGGTGCTCCCACCACGCCTCCTCCAAGAGGGCCACTGGCCTCTTCAGGCCTTGCCGTTTGCTCACCCCCTCTCCACCCTTCTGGCCAGCCCCCTCCAGCCTCTGGCAAGGCCCTCTCTACAGGGACCCCCGTCCAAGGCCCAGTCCTCACTCCTTTCCTTGGGTAGTGCTGGCCAGGAGGGCTGCTGGGACCCTTCGGGAGTAGAGGGCAGCAGCCTCCCTCCCCTGTCCCCAGGCCTCTCCCTCCTCCCCTGGTTTCCTCTGCCTGGTGGCTGGATTCAGGCCACTTCTCCATCTATCTCTTTAACTGCCCGTGCCCCCCACCCCCAAGCCTGGCTTGTTCCCGCACCCAACAGCACCCTAAGTGTTCTTCAGAGCAAGAGGCAGGGGTGTCATGCTTCAGAGCAAGAAGCGGGGCCATGGGTCCTGGTTGTTGCTGGGGGCAGGGGGCCCAGGCCTGCAGGTGGGAACAGGGCTGCGGGAGGGCACTGGGGTTGATGGAAATTCAGGAGGAGGAGAGGGCACTGTGCCCCTCCGAGGGCCTGGGCCGGGTAGGGCTGGAGTTCCTCCTGATGGGTGGGTTTGAGTGGAAATGACTCCAGGGGGTCTATCTAGCATGAAGGCATTGAAGCAGGATGGAGTGAGAAGTGGGCCAGAGTGGGCAGGGAAGGTGGTGGCAGCCGTCCCCACTGTTGTCCAGGCCTGCGTGAGGTGGAGAAGCTCCAGGCTGCCAGTGGCAGGGTCCCAGGAGGCTGGTGACCAGACAGGCCTTTGCCCAGCAGCAGGTGCCCTTGGCCAGGCCCAAGGAGCAGACCGCAGGACAGGGATGGAGCTGGAGAAGGGGGGTCCTGGGGCCGGGGGTCCTCAGGCTTCCTTTTATGTTCATGCAATGCTGCCTCTTTCGGCAGCCACATTGTGCAGTGTGCTTAGAGATATGTGGCTGCTGGAAGTTGGGTTCAGAGTTGTGGGTGGCCGATGTGGAGAGGAGGGTGATTGGAGGCCGAGCTGTGGGTCACGGGTGGGTGCTGCTCAGATCACTGGGGCTGCTGGAGGGCGGCGGTTGAGCTAGGAGCTGAGGTCCTTCCTCAGGGCGAGGCAGGGGTGGGGTCACAATGGAGCAGACCCCTCACCACTCCTTCCATCCCTGTTTCTCTGATAGTCTGCTAATGGGATCCTCCGGAAGGCATGCTAAGTATGGGGGGTCTCTGAGATGCCTGGGGAGCCAGTGGAGACCTCCTCTTCCTCCTTCCCACCTGCCATTGAACACAAATGCCAGCGCGGCTTCCGCTCTGCCTGCCTCTCCTGAGATCAATGGTCTGCACGGGGTTGAGGCTGCCAGATAAATACAGGCCCAGTTAAATCTGAAGTTCAGATAAACAACTAATAAATTGTCATTTTATTTTTATTTGTTTATTTATTTGAGACAGAGTCTCACTCTCACTCTGTCGCCAGGCTGGAGTGCAGTGGCGCGATCTTGGCTCACTGCAATCTCTGCCTCCCGGGTTCAAGCAATTCTCCTGCCTCAGCCTCCTGAGTAGCTGGGATTACAGGCGTGCGCCACCATACCCGGCTAATTTTTGTATTTTTAATAGAGACAGGGTTTCACCATGTTAGCCAGGATGGTCTCCATCTCCTGACCTCGTGATCCGCCCACTTTGGCCTCCCAAAATGCTGGGATTATAGGCGTGAGCCACTATGCCTGGCCCTTATTTTATTTTATTGTATTTTATTTTTTATTTTTTGAGACAGGGTCACGTGTAGCCCAGGCTGGAGTGCAATGGCACAGTCTTGGCTCACTGCAGCCTCCACCTCGTAGGTTCAAGCAGTTCCCCTGACTCGGCCTCCCGAGTAGCTGGGATTACAGGTGCGGGCCCCCACGCCCAACTGATTTTGTATTTTTAATAAGGATGGGGTTTCGCCACGTTGGCCAGGCTGTTCTCGAACTCCTGACCGCAGGTGATCCACCTGCCTCGGCCTCCCAGAGTGCTAGGATTACAGGCATGAGCCACTGCACCTGGCCCAATAATTGGTCCTTTTTAAGTAGACCTTATCTTTTAGAGGAACTTTGGGCTTACAGAAAAATTGCTCAGGGAGTATACAGAGTTCCCACAGACCCCCTCTCCTTGAGTGCCCCTCCATTATTAACATCTTGCATCGTGTGGTGTGATCTGTTCCAATTGATAAACCAATACTGATGCATTACTATTAAGTCCAGAGTTTACCCCCAGGTTTCATCCTTGCAAAATGTCCTTTAGCCACCACTATGGTGTCACACAGAAGTGTCACTGCCTGAAAAGCTGCCTCTGCCCTGCCTGTGCATTCCTGCCTCCCCCGGCCCCTGGCAGCCCTGGCTCTTTCCACTGCCGCCTTGGCATTGCCCTCTCCAGGCTGTGGTATCATTGGAATCATACAGCACGTAGCCTTTCGAGATTGGCTTCTTGCCATGAGTGAGATGCAGCTAGGGCTCCTCTGGGTTTTTTTGTGGTTTCATAGTGCATTCTTTTCGGGCCGGATATTGTTCCATTGTCTGGATGTACCTCGGTTTATCCCTTTGCCTACGGAAGGACTTCTTGTTTACTTCCAAGTCTCGGCAGTAATGAATAAAGCCTCTGCAAACATGTGTGTGCAGGTTTTAGGGTGGACACAAGTTTTCAATTCATTTGCAGAAACACCCAGGAGGGCCATTGCTGGTTGTATGGTAGGAGGACGTTTGATTTTGTAAGAAACTGCCCCGCGGTCTTCCAAAGTGGCCGCACTGTTTGGCGTTCCCACTGCAAAGGTGGTGCTTCCTGCTGCTCCACGTCCTCAGCAACTTCTCATCGGTGTGTCGGGACATGCTCTTCTGCTTCCACCTGCTAGACCTGAGCCAGGAGCCCCGCTGCAAGGGCAGCCCCTAAACTGAGCTTTGCGAGTCAGGCTGGGGGAGCTGGGGCGTTTTTACAGTGAGGGTCCCTGAAGGGTTTTAAGGGAACGTACGAATTCAGCTGGGAAAGCACTTTCAGCCTGCAGATGAGAATCAGGTCGTGGGGGAGAGGGGCCGTTCACACATACACTCACTCATTCATTCATTCGTACAGAGGGTGGGGGGAGGGGCTGTTCACACACACACTCATTCATTCATTCATTCAGAGGGTGGGGGAGGGGCCGTTCATACATACACTCATTCATTCATACAGAGGGTGGGGGAGGGGCCGTTCACAGATACACTCATTCATTCATTCATACAGAGGGTGGGGGGGAGGGGCCGTTCACACATACACTCATTCATTCATTCATACAGAGGGTGGGGAAGGGGCTGTTCACACATACACTCATTCATTCATTCATTCAGAGGGTGGGGGAGGGGCCGTTCATACATACACTCACTCATTCATTCATTCAGAGGGTGGGGGAGGGGCCGTTCACAGATACACTCATTCATTCATTCATACAGAGGGTGGGGGGAGGGGCCGTTCACACATACACTCATTCATTCATTCATACAGAGGGTGGGGGAGGGGCTGTTCACACATACACTCACTCATTCATTCATAGACTCATTCATTCATCCCGCCAATAAACACACAAAAAGGTGCAAACACTTGTAGCGAAATCACTGTAAGCACAAACCAGTGAGCCACCATGTTCAAATGCAGGTTTTCAAAGATTAGGAAGAAATGGCAACCCCCTTGTTTTACCCAGCACCTACTTGTGCCAGGCCCTGGCTGCAGATCACCGGCTCTCACTGTCCAGGAACCAGACAGCCCAGGGGAGGCCAGACCCAGGCACCAGGATCCCTGGGGCAGAGCAGGCAGGACTCACAGGAGAGGCACAGGCAGCTCAGAAGGGTTGTTGCCAGCCCTTGCCCATCCTGCAGGCCACAGCGTGGACCACAAACCCTCCTTGCCTGCGTCCAGCATCCTCAGACCCTGTGTACCGGCTGGGTGACCATGGCTCTGGGAATGTGGCTTGCTCACATCCACAAAGCCATTGTGCATTACACCAGGATAGAACCCAGAAGACACCACCCCCCCAAACAGCCTGCGGCCCTCCCCAGAGCTGTGATAGACACACCCATTGCCCCAAAATTTTTCTCGTGCCCTGTGTGGCTCCCCATCCCATCCTGGATTTCCCAGTCTCAAGCAAGCAATGTCCTGGTCGGTTTCTGCTTTTGTATGTGTGTGTGTGTGTGTGTGTGTGTGTGTGTGTGTGTGTGTTTTGAGACGGTCTCACTCTGTTTCCCAGGCTGGAGTGTGGAAGTGCAGTGGCACAGCAAGAGCTCCTTGCAGCCTCAAAGCTCCTTGCAGCGCCAGCCTGTGATCACCAGCCACACACGTGGCCACCTGGCTTTTCTCCCAACCAGAAGAGAAGGCCCCCCACCCACATGGGAGGCTGCGTTTGGACAGGACCAGGACAGCAGGCGGGGGTGTGTTGGTGCTGCCCTGACGAAGCCCTTCAGAATCAGCTGCCATTAGAGACTTCTTGTCTCCCCATCAGCCCCTCCCTCTCCCTCCCCCCTCCCTCCCACCTTCCTCCCCCACTCCCTCCCACCTTCCCAGCCAACCTGGCCCCTTTGCTGCAGCAGCAGAGCCCCTCCCAGCACCTGCTCCTGGTGGCCCAGGGCTCAACAGTGCCTCCATTCTAGGAGTCCCATCTTAATCCCAGTTCCCCCCACCATTCTTGGCCTCCTAGGCACCCTGCTCTCGGGTGCCACAAAGAGGGGGTGGCAGAGGTAGTCAGCCTCTCACATGGCGTGGTCGGGGGCCTCTGAGGGTCCACGTGGGCCTTCTTGTGCCCCTGTAGCATGTGGGCTTCCCGGGCCGCAGGGCCTGGGCACGTGCTGACCCCGCACACTTGCCATGCCCTCTTCCCACGGAGGCCTCATTCACCCACCTCATTGAAAACTGCAGCCTCGGCCAGGCACGGTGGCTCACACCTGTAATCCCGACACTTTGGGGGGCCAAGGTGGGTGGATCATTGAGCCCAGGAGTTTAAGTCCAGCCTGGGCAACATGGTGAAACCCCTGTCTCTACAAAAAATAGACAAGTGAGCCAGGTGTAGCGGCGTGCGTGTATCGGTTGCTCATATTTCTGATTCCAGGGCTTGGCTGCTTCTGTCTGTCGCTCATGTTTTCTGCAGGCTGAATTGTGTCCTGCTTAAAATTCTTACCTTGCGGCCGGGCACAGTGGCTCACGCCTGTAATCCCAGCACTTTGAGAGGCCGAGGCGGGTGGATCACCTGAGGTCAGGAGTTGATCAGCTGGCCAACAGGGTGAAACCCTGTCTCTACTGAAAATACAAAAATTAGTCGAGTGTGGTGGTGCGTACCTGTAGTCCCAGCTACGAGGGAGGCTGAGGCAGGAGAATCGCTTGAACCTGGGAGGTGGAGGTTGTAGTGAGCCGAGATCGTGCCACTGCACTCCAGCCTGAGCGACAGAGTGAAATCCGTCTCAACAAAAAAAAAATCATATGTTGAAGCCTTAGTCGCTAATACTTCAGAATGTGACTGTTTTTGCAGATGGAGTCTTTAAAGACATAATTAAATTAAAATGGAGTCATATGGGTGGGTCTTAATCCAATAGGACTGGTGTCCTTATAACAAGAGGAGATGAGGACACAGACACGCACAGAGGGATAGCCCCGTTGGGGACACAGGGAGATGGTGGCATCTGCAAGCCCCGGAGAGAGGCCTCAGGAGGAACCAGCTCCACAGCACCTTGATCTCGGACTCCAACCTCCAGGACTGTGAGAGAATAAATGTCTGTCATTTAAGCTGCCCAGACTTGGTGCTTTCTTATGGCAGCCTGAACAAATTACTTAGGGTGGGAATGTTTTCCTGACGTGTTTTTCCAAGTGTCTTTAATGTATGAATGACATGACTCCTTCTCTGTCATACTTGATTCAAAATATTTTCCCAGTTTTGTCATTTGCCTTATACTTTTTAAAACCACCTTCGTTGAGGGTGTCATTGACACGCAGCCATTGCCATGTTTAAACTGCACGATTCCATCCATCTTAATCTACATAGACAGCCATGAAGCCAGCCCCATCAGGAGACAAACACCCTCATTGCCCCAAAATTGTCCTCGTGCCCTGTGTGGCTCCCCATCCCACCCTGGACCTCCCAGTCCCAAGCAACCAATGCCCTGGTTGGTTTCTGCTTGTGTGTGTGTGTGTGTGTGTGTGTGTGTGAGAGAGAGAGAGACAGCGTCTCACTCTGGTTTCTACGTGTGTGTGTGTCTGTGTGTTTGAGACAGGGTCTCTCTCTGGTTTCTGCGTGTGTGTGTGTGTGTGTGTGTGTGTGTTTGAGACAGGGTCTCACTCTGGTTAGTTTCTGCGTGTGTGTGTGTGTGTGTGTGTTTGAGACAGGGTGTCACTCTGTTTCCCAGGCTGGAATGTGGGCACGCCGGCGTGTGTGTGTGTGTGTGTGTGAGACATGGTCTCTGGTTTCTGCTTGTGTGTGTGTGTGTGTGTGTGTGTGTGTGTGTGTGTTTGAGACAGTGTCTCACTCTGGTTAGTTTCTGCTTGTGCGTGTGTGTTTGAGACAGGGTCTCACTCTGTTTCCCAGGCTGGAGTGTGGGAGTGTGTGTGTGTGTGTGTGTGTGTGTGAGACAGGGTCTCTGGTTTCTGCTTTTGTGTGTGTGTGTTTGAGACAGTGTCTCACTCTGGTTAGTTTCTGCATGTGTGTGTGTTTGAGACAGGGCCTCACTCTGTTTCCCAGGCTGGAGTGTGGGAGTGTGTGTGTGTGTGAGAGAGAGACAGGGCCTCACTCTGTTTCCCAGGCTGGAGTGTGGGAGTGTGTGTGTGAGAGAGAGAGAGAGAGAGAGACAGGGCCTCACTCTGTTTCCCAGGCTGGAGTGTGGGAGTGTGTGTGTGTGTGTGTGTGTGTGTGAGACAGGGCCTCGCTCTGTTTCCCAGGCTGGAGTGTGGGAGTCTGTGTGTGTGTGTGTGTGTGTGTGTGTGTGTGTGACAGGACCTCGCTCTGTTTCCCAGGCTGGAGTGTGGGAGTCTGTGTGTGTGTGTGTGTGTGTGTGAGACAGGACCTCACTCTGTTGCCCAGGCTGGAGTGTGGGAGTCTGTGTGTGTGTGTGTGTGTGTGTGTGTGTGTGTGTGTGTGAGACAGGACCTCACTCTGTTTTCCAGGCTGGAGTGTGGGAGTGTGTGTGTGTGTTTGAGACAGGGCCTCACTCTGTTTCCCAGGCTGGAGTGTGGGAGTCTGGTGTGTGTGTGTGACAGGGCCTCACTCTATTTCCCAGGCTGGAGTGTGGGAGTCTGTGTGTGTGTGTGTGTGTGTGTGTGAGACAGGGCCTCACTCTGTTTCCCAGGCTGGAGTGTGTGTGTGTGTGTGTGTGTTTGAGACAGGGCCTCACTCTGTTTCCCAGGCTGGAGTGTGGGAGTCTGTGTGTGTGTGTGTGACAGGGCCTCTATTTCCCAGGCTGGAGTGTGAGAGTCTGTGTGTGTGTGTGTGTGTGTGAGACAGGGCCTCACTCTGTTTCCCAGGCTGGAGTGTGGGAGTGTGTGTGTGTAACAGGCCCTCTGTTTCCCAGGCTGGAGTGTGTGAGTGTGTGTGTGTGTCTGTGTGTGTGACCGGGCCTCACTCTGTTTCCCAGGCTGGAGTGTGGGAGTGTGTGTGTGTGTGTGTGTGAGAGAGAGAGACAGGGCCTCACTCTGTTTCCCAGGCTGGAGTGTGGGAGTGTGTGTGTGTGTGTGAGAGAGACAGGGCCTCACTCTGTTTCCCAGGCTGGAGTGTGGGAGTGTGTGTGTGTGAGAGAGACAGGGCCTCACTCTGTTTCCCAGGCTGGACTGTGGGAGTGTGTGTGTGTGTTTGAGACAGGGTCTCACTCTGTTTCCCAGGCTGGAGTGTGGGAGTGTGTGTGTGTGTGTGAGAGACAGGGCCTCACTCTGTTTCCCAGGCTGGAGTGTGGGAGTGTGTGTGTGTGTGTGTGAGAGAGAGACAGGGCCTCACTCTGTTTCCCAGGCTGGAGTGTGGGAGTGTGTGTGTGTGTTTGAGACAGGGCTTCACTCTGTTTCCCAGGCTGGAGTGTGGGAGTGTGTGTGTGTGTTTGAGACAGGGCCTCACTCTGTTTCCCAGGCTGGAGTGTGGGAGTGTGTGTGTGTGTGTGAGACAGGGCCTCACTCTGTTTCCCAGGCTGGAGTGTGTGTGTGTGTATGTGTAACAGGCCCTCACTCTGTTTCCCAGGCTGGAGTGTGGGAGTGTGTGTGTGTGTGTGTGTGATAGGGCCTCACTCTGTTTCCCGGGCTGGGAGTGTGTGTGTGTTTGTGTGTATGTGTGTGTGTGACAAGTTCTCTGTTTCCCAGGCTGGAATGTGTGTGTGTGTGTGTCAGAGCCTCACTCTGTTTCCCAGGCTGGGAGTGTGGGAGTGTGTGTGTGTGTGTGTGTGTGTGTGTGTGTCAGAGCCTCACTCTGTTTCCCAGGCTGGGAGTGCAGTGGCACAATGAGAGCTCCTTGCAGCCTCAACCTCCTGGGCTCAACGGATCCTCCTGCTTCAGCCTCCCAAGTAGCTGGGACCGCAGGTGCCCACCACCACACCTGGCTAAGTTTTTGATTTTTTTTGTAGAGACGAGGTCTTGCTATGTTGCCCAGGCTGGCTTCAAACTCTTGGGCTCAAGCGACCCCCCCTGCCTCCACCTCCCAGAGTGCTGGGATTACAGGCATGAGCCCTGCACCCAAGGGTTTGTGCTTTTTTACAGTGTTACATAAATGGCATCCTGCAGCACGCACGCACTCCTTGTCTGACTTCTGTCACGTAGCATAACTATTCTGAGATCCATGCTTGCTGCTGTGTCTGTTGTAAACACTCATTTTTATTGCCACAGCATGGGTACACCCCAACCCGCTCATCTGTTCGTCTCTTGGTGGACATCAGGGTGGTTTCCAGTTTTGAATGATGGAAAGTAATGTGGCCATTTACATTCACACACAGGTTTTCAGAAGGACATACATTTCCTTTACTCTTGGGGAGAGGCCTAGAAATAAAACGACTAGATGCCGTGGGAGGTGTGTGTGAAACTTGTTCAGAAACGGCCTAGCTCTCATTTCTTGTTGCAGTTGGAATGGTTCATCTCGCTGACTTTGGCCCTTCCTAGACGTGGAGGGTGCGGTCTGTGATTTTGGCTTGCGTGTCTCCCGGCACCAGGGGTGCCGTGCAGCTTTGCACGTGCTACTTCACCACTGATACATCTTGCTGGGGGAAGCATCTGTTCAGATCTTTTGCCCGTTGCTGTAAAATTGGGTTATTTGTTTTCCTATTGTTGAGTTTGAGAGTTCTTTCTTTCTTTTTTTTTTTGAGATGGAGTTTTGCTCTTGTTGCCCAGGCTGGAGTGCAGTGGCGCCATCTTGGCCCACTGCAACCTCCGTCTCCTGGGTTCAAGCGATTCTCCTGCCTCAGCCTCCCAGGTAGCTGGAACTACAGGCATTTGCCACCACGCCGGGCTAATTTTTGTATTTTTAGTAGAGGTGGGGTTTCACCATGTTGTTCAGGCTGGTCTCGAATTCCTGACCTCAAGTGATCCGCCTGCCTTAGCCTCCCAAAGTGCTGGGATTACAGGCGTGAGCCACCGTGAGAGTTCTTTGTATATATTCTGAATCAATCCTTGATGAAATAGATTTGCAAAGATTTTTCTCCTGGTTGGTGGCCTTGTCCTCTCACCGTTAACCATCTGAAGAGCAAATTTTAAACATTTTTGATGAATTTCAGTTTGTCAATTTGTTCTTTTAGGAATTGTGCTTTTGGTATCATGTCTGAGAAATCTTTGCCTTATCCAGAGCCATAAAGATTTTCTCCTGTGTTTTTATGGCTCCAGCTTTACATTTAGACCCACGATCCTTTTTGAGTTAATGTTTGTGTATAGTGTGAGGTACGAATGCAAATTATTCTTCTTTTTCTTTTTGCATATGGAGATCCAGTTGTTCCAGAATATGAAATTGCTGCAGCATGGTTTCTTGAAGAAGCTACAGTTGTGCACCGAGTCGCCTTTGCACCTTTGTCAAAAGTCTGAACTGTGCATGGTGGTGGGTGCCTGCGGTCCCAGCTACTTGGGCGGCTGAGGTGGGAGGATCCCTAGAGCCTGGGAATTTGAGGCTGCAGCGAGCAGAGATTGCACCACTGCACTCCAGCCTGGGCAACAGAGTGAGACCCTGCCTGAAAAAAAGTCATCAGTCTGTGTGTGTAAGCTGATTTCTGGACCGTTTTCTTTTGGATCTACTTGAATATTTTTACACCAGTATCACTCAAGTTTTGCTTACACTGGTCTTATATGAGTTCTTAGAATGTTAGCTCTTCAATTGTGTTCTTTTTCCGGATTGTTTTAGCTCTTCTCCTCCTCTGCTTTTCCATATGTGTTTTAGAATGGACCTGTGAATTTCTATAAATGCAGGGAGAGTTGACATCTTAACAGTATTGAACTTACTAATCCACGAACCTTGGATGTCCCTATTTATTCAGGTCTTCTTCCACTTCTTCCAAGGATTTTTTACTCTTTCAATTTGGAGGTCTTTCACATCTTTTGTCAGATTGACCTCTAAGTATTGTCTATTTTTATACAGTTAGGAAGTGGTATTTTTAATGTCAATATCTGATAGTTGATTACCATTTTATAGAAACACAATGGACTTTGTATATCAGTCTTGTTATTCCACAACCTTGTTAATCTCACTGAGTAGTTCTTGCAGGTTTTTCTTTTGTTGTTGATTCCATCGGGTTAGATGGTCACGTTATCTGTAGATAAGATTGTTTTCTTTTTCCTTTCTCGTCTGTATGGCTTTTATTTCTTTTGGGGGCCTAATTGCACGAGCAGGAACCTCCAGGTCAATGTTGGACGGAGGTGATGAGGGCGGACATCCCAGCCTCCTTTCTGTTCTTAGTGAGAAACTGTTCAGTCTTCCGCCATCGGTTGTGGGGTTTTCATAGATATCCTGTATTAGGTTAGGGAAGTTCCCTCTATTCCTAATTTACTGAGTGATGTTTTTTAAACAAATCAGGAACCGACGTTGGATTTTTCAAATGCTTTTTCTGTACTGTTAAAAGAAAAACCTTAGACAAATTAAATTTAACAGAGTTTAATTAAGCAAAGAACCACTCGCTAATGGGGCAGCCCCCAAACCAAAATAGGTTCAGAGAGGCTCTGGTGCTGCCGTGTGGCTGAAGATTGGTGGACAGAAAAGGGAAAGGAGGCACAGAAAACGGAAGCAAAGCACAGAAACCGCCAGAGGGGCTGCAGCTCCATGCTTGCCTTATCTGAACACGGTTGGAATGGCCGGCACCCTTGATGAGCGGAAACCTGGTGAGTGGCACAAGGGAAGGCTTCAGTCTGTTTACGTCTCCAGTGAGGTTTCAGTTCACAGTGGATGGAGAAGGCGGAACATAAACTATGTCAGGAGGCAGCTTTACGCCAAGCTTAATTTAACGATTTCCCCCTTTAGACATTGGTGTCCCTGTCGCCATTGTAAATGTACTTGTTTGGTCCCAAGCCCCACTGGGAAATAGCAGAACAATGGGTTTCGTAAGTGGGAACGAGGACCTCGGGTTATATATTTTTGTAAGGGATAGAGAGGAACCTCCTTGTGCTGGAATTTCATGTGCTCAGAAAAACAAACCCTGGTCTGCCTTAGGACCTATCTGCTTCCGTAAAGCTTCGGTTTGATGGTGTTGCGTTTAGCTTGCGTGACTCCATCTGGGTTTGGTCTGGTCCGTTGGGGCCTCTTGCGGGAGCTCAGTCCAAAACAATGGCCTCTTATAATTTTGTTTAAAAATTCCCTGCCTTTGGTCAGGTTCTCATTTAGTGGAAAGTGTAGCCAAGCCTTAGGGCCTTGGCACCACCCTCAGTCACCGCCACTTCCAGCTTCCGGTCACAGAATGTCATTCGTACCTAGGTTACGACATCCTCATGGCCTTGTGTTTCTTTGAGTTCTTGTTGCTCCAGTCAAAGAGACACCATTTAGCATCCTACAGATGGCTGCATGCAAACATTTAAAACTCCGGAGAGAATGCAGAGCGCCAGGGAGACGAGTATTATGACCATCAGGAAGATCATATTTAATACCAAGAATGTGAAGCATGCTCCTTAGGTGGGGTCCCATGAAGCAAACCAACGAAAATCAAATAGATCAGAGAGTTAGCTGGATAAAGAGTCTACTCATTTCAAACAAGCAGCCTGTTTGTTAATCCCCTACAACCGAACCTTTCTAATACCTGATACATTCCTCCATGTGCCACAAGAAGCATCGGCAACGGCACAGACGCTCCTCTGTTTAGCTAGTAAGGGATCCAGAGCAAGTCTATCATCCCACACACCTTTAGCAAGAGAATTTAAAGACTGTTGTGTAACCATAGCCTTTGGAGTAGAATCTGTTCCAGAGCCAATTACGAGGGATACTTTTTTTTTTTTTTTGAGACCGAGTCTCGCTCCGTCGGCTGGAGTGCAGCGGCGCCAGCCATGTCTCGGCTCACTGCAACCTCCACCTCCTGGGTTCAAGCGATTCTCCTGCCTCAGCCTCACGATTAGTTGAGATTACAGGCGCCCGCCATCATACCCAGCTTATTTTTAATATTTTTAGTAGAGATAGGGTTTTGCCGTGTTGGCCAGGATGGTCTTGATCTCTTGACGTTGTGATCCACCCACCTCGGCCTCCCAAAGTGCTGGGATTACAGGCGTGAGCCACCACGCCCAGCAGAGGGATACATTTTAAATCTTTGCCTCATTTACTCCAAACCATGGAAAAAGAGGCCTCACAAACAGTGCCCATCTAGAAGAGTGAAGCTCCTGCCAGAGTTCTCTTTAAGCTGTGATGTAGAGGAGTGGAGCGATGTTGTTTGTGATTGATTGGGAAGCAACAAAGGCACCCTCAACATTTTTCACCCAGACCGGGCACAGGGGCTCACGCCTGTAATCCCAACACTTTGGGAGGCCGAGGTGGGCACTTGAGGTCAGGAGTTCGAGACCAGCCTGGTCAACATGGTGAAACCCTGTCTCTACTAAAAATACAAAAATTAGCTGGGCTTGGTGGTAGGTGCCTGTAATCCCAGCTACTTGGGAGGCTGAGGCAGGAGAATCGCTTGAACCTGGGAGGCAAAGGTTGCTGTGAGCTGAGATCACACCACTGCATTCCAGCTTGGGCAACAGAGTGAGACTTGGAGTGAGCTAATTTTTTTTTTCACCTACAGTGGCCCTTCGTCTTCCAACTGTCAAGGCAGAAGGTTGTCCACATATAGGATTGGCTGCAAAATCCTCCACAAATAAAAGTATACCCCATGAGTGCACATAAGAGATCCCTTTTTAGTTCTATTATTCAGAGGCATGACAGTCTCAAGTTCTTGGGAAAAAGCTGTCCATATCTGGGATGCCAGCTGCTTCTGGGGAGAAACTTCCCTGATTAGCTTTACCTTAAAATCTCCAATGGGGCTGCAGTTGCTGGAGTCTGGCGATGCCCTCTTGAGCGGTGAGATAACGAACCCAGGGTTCAAAGTCCTAGAATTTCACTGCAGTGTGGGTGGCAAGGGCAGTCTTTCTGTGATACTCTCAGAAAACCAAATGTCTGGGTTCTAGATTGTGAAGCGTTTGATAGGGTCCTCAGTGGACCATGAAAAGCTTTCTGTACCTGGTGAAAATATACTTAGGCATAATGCATTAAGGCCTAGGAGCCTTTAGCCATATCGGAGTTGAGGAGTGGAAGATACATGAGGTTCTATATAGGACTTCCAGGGACTATTTCATAAGGCACCAACTTATGTTTTCCACTGGAAATGGACCCGACGGCCATCCACCTGCAACACCCTTGACCAAGGCAGCCCAGTTCATTCAGTTCCCTTGCTTAATATTATTGTATCTGTAACAAGTTATTAACAGTTTTACCACTTGAGCAGTGAAACAAGTACATCTATCATGGGAGATTTCTCAAGGGACGTCCCATGAGAAAAACAATTTTCTAATAATCTTTTAGCTACTGCTATAACATCAGTGCTCTTGCCTGGGAAAGCTTCTATATAACCAGAAAACACGCATTGAAAATGACAATTGAAGGAAATCCCTCCAGCAATGTTTCAATGGCCCATCAAGTAGCAGAAGTGTAATGGAAGTTTCGATTGTCCTCCCAGGATTATGGGTTTGGCAGACCAAACATTGGTCGTAAACCATTTTAACAACTTACAACGGTCACCATGTCAAATATATATATGTATATTATATATACATATATATATAAAATTTGGATTAATTTGTCTCTTCCATGATGAATCATGGAGTGCAGAGCATTTAATAGTGGAAGCTTCAAGGACACAGGAAGGACCAGGTGGCCATCTTGGCTGTCCATGTGTCCATGCTTGATGCTGGACTTATATCTTCTTAAATACCAATTTTGTTTCTCCAGTTCAGGTGCATAGCACTGTTTATTAGAAGGGTTATCATAGGTAATTTGACTTGGACGATGGATTTAATTCAAATTGGGTATCTAAACAATATCAGTACTGGCTGATTTAGCATGAAAAGCTGGCAAAGTGTTTTCTTGGTATTCAATTAATTTTTGTCCTGCCCAGGTTAGCAATTTTATAAACCAGTCAATCTTTCCATTAGAGTTCCGGGAATTTTTACCCAGTCCAAATGACATTACACTAAAGTTATCAGAAGCCTATTCAAGAGGGCTTATCAGGGTCCTTTCTCTCCTTTCACGAACCTCCTGGAGGACTCAATATTGTAGGACTGTGTGTGTTTGTGAGTTTTCAGAAACGTCAGAAAAAAGCAATTAACTCTGGAAATGACGTAAAATGGTCATGGTTAAAGAAGAACTGACAAGGAATTTTGATTACTTCTGTGGCCTACAATAACTTAACTGTAATTAAGAGTGACAGCATATACCCGGATGTATCAGAATTTTAGGAACCCCATACAATTTTGGAGCATATATTAATGACGTATTCACAAACAATATCTCAAATAAGGTTAAACATCATTTCTTATTTGGCAGTGCTTCCCATGTAATTTAATTTATCAAATACTTCTGTCTCTCTCTTTTTTGGATACTATAGGGGCCCTTAGTAGCTCTCTCCACTGGGAAAGGCTGTTATCGTCTTTGTTTTAAACTATAAACTAAGTTTCTCCCAAAGTTAGTTCAGCCTACTCCCAGGAATAAGCAAGGACAGGAATAAGCAAGGAGGTTAGAAGCAAGATGGAGGGGCCAGGCACGGTGGCTTACGCCTGTAACCCCATCACTTTGGGAGGCCGAGGTGAGCAGATCACAAGGTCAGGAGTTCCAGACCAGCCTGGCCAATATGGTGAAACCTCATCTCTACTAAAAAAAATACAAAATTAGTCGGGCGTTGTGGCAGATGCCTGTAATCCCAGTTACTTGGGAGGCTGAGGCAGGAGAATCGCTTGAACCCAGGAGGCAGAGGTTGTGGTGAGCCAAGTTTACGCCATTGCACTCCAGCCTGGGCGACAAGAGCAAAACACCACCTCTAAAAAAAAAAAAAGGCAAGATGGAGTCAATTAAGTTAGATGTCTCTCACCGTCTCAGTCAAAGAGACAATGCAAAGGTGGTTTCAGCTTTTTCCTAAATATTATCAGATACATGTCATACAGAGAGACATATAGTCATAACAGACACAGATAGAAACAGATCTTACAGATTTCAGAAAGAATTTTCATTTGCCAGCTTTCAAATAGTTTTCTTTTCCCCCTTTAGACTATCAATCTTCTAATTACTTGTTTTATCATCCTAAGCAATCGTTAGCTAGGGAACAATTTGCCTTCAAAAAAGATAACTCTTAGGTGAAACAAGGCAGAAAATGTATATATGAAAAGCTATTTAAGCTGAGACTTTCAGCTTAAATACTGTACCATCATCATTTGCTCAACCAAGAAAAAAGCAAGGCCCAGTGAAGACAACATGGCCAGGAAAAACACGTTAAACAAAGGTAAGACTTGTTACGTAAATTTAAAACAAAGGGATGTCCCTCCCAGACGTTGCAAATGGAAATGTCTTGTGGAGATGTAAATTTCTTTCACAAAATGGTTTCAAGGTAGCCGTTGAATGTCAGAAAGGTGCATTTTAGTTATTAGGCTGGTTGAAAAGTAATTGCAAAAACCACAATTATGGCCGGGCGCGGTGGCTCACGCCTGTAATCCCAGCACTTTGGGAGGCCGAGGCGGGTGGATCATGAGGTCAGGAGATCGAGACCATCCTGGCTAACATGGTGAGATCCCGTCTCTACTAAAAATACAAAAAGTTAGCCGGGCGTGGTGGCGGGCGCCTGTAGTCCCAGCTACTCGGGAGGCTGAGGCAGGAGAATGGTCTGAACCCGGGAGGCGGAGCTTGCAGTGAGCAGAGATCGCGCCACTGCACTCCAGCCTGGGCGACAGAGTGAGACTCTATCTCAAAAAAAAAAAAAAAAACACACAATTACTTTCACACCAACCTGTGGATAGGTGGTCCTTCTAATGTGGCTACTGCTTCTTAGCTGAAATTACTGAGTACAGGGTGGGACCCATTAAGGAATAAGGCAAAGAAAGGCTTCCCTCGGCCTGGGCTCAGCGTGGGTGGATCTGAAGTAAAGCCTGCTGGATCTGAGAGACCTTTTAGACACACTTCATCTAGGATAGCTTTCTGTATGGGATAGTAACCAGGCCAAAAGCTCAGCAGATTCATTTTTTCTTATCAATTGGTCACTTAAGCTTTTTCTTTGTCTTAATTAATTTATATTTATGATCTTATTTTGTCTTTATCTTATTTGACAGGGTGTTGCTCTGTCACCCAGGCTGGAGTGCAGTGGTGCCATCATAGCTCACTGCAATTGTTACAGGAGAGGGGTCCTGATCCAGACCCCAAGAGAGGGTTCTTGGATTTGGATCCTGTGCAAGAAAGAATTCAGGGTGAGTCCACGGCGCAAAGCAAAAACAAGTTTACTAAGAAAGTAAAGGAATAAAGAATGGCTACTCCATAGACCGAGCAGCCCCGAGAGCTGCTGGTTGCCCATTTTTTGGTTATTTCTTGATGAGATGCTAAACCAGGGGTGGATTACTCATGCCCCCCACCCCTGCTTTTTAGGCCATACAGGGTAACTTCCTGACGTTGCCACGGCATCTGTAAACTGTCATGGTGCTGGTGGGAGTGTAGCAGTGAGGACGACCAGAGGTCACTCTCGTCACCATCTTGGTTTTGGTGCATTTTAGCCGGCTTCTTTACTGCAACCTGTTTTATCAGCAAGGTTTTTATGACCTGTATCTTGTGCCGACCTCCTGTCTCATCCAGTGACTTAGAATGCCTGACCATGTGGGAATGCAGCCCAGTAGGACTCAGTCTCATTTTACCCAGCCCCTGTTCAAGATGGAGTCGCTCTGGTTCACACGCCTCAGACACAGCCTCTGCCTCCCGCCTCAGCCTCCTAAGCAGCTGGGACTACAGGTGAGTGCTACCGTGCCTGGCTAATTTTTTTTTTTCCGTAGAGATAGTGGGGAGCTGTGGAGCGGGGGGTGGGGGGCGGGTGTCTCACTGTATCGCCCAGGCTGGTCTCAAACTCCAGGGCTTAAGCAATCTTCCCACCTTGGCCTCTCAAAGTGCTGGAATTACAGGCATGGGCCACCTTGCCAGGCCTCATTTGCCTTTTGTGCAGACACTTTTAAAAGAGGGAGTAAAAATACTGAAATCATTTTAGAAGCTTCTTCACATCAATTGGCATCCCTGATGAGGCTAATTAGGAGCCCTTGTTTTTAGGTGCACTTCTTAAAGTGCAGTGGTGTTCACTTGGAACATCCCACCGTAATTTTCATTCACCTTTAGTAAGATGCCACCATTTCTGTAAACATCTGCCGCGTCCGGGACCTAACACGTACGGACATACGAGCCAGAAGGTGCTCGGTTTTTCAGAGATGAAGGATCCCATTTTACATTAAATCTTGGCTTTGGCTCTTAGATCCTCGTGATCAACTGAGCAATGATTTTTCCCTGCCTTAGTGTGCAAGAAAAAGAAACCAAGAGAGTAGAACACGAACATCCTTGTGAATGTCCAAAAGCTGGAGTGTGCACCTCCTGCAGCCCTGCCATTTACAGCCAGTTTCCGCCTGACCCAGTCAAGACACACAAGGCCTCTAACTGCATCCAAGCCAGTGAATGATCAAATCAGATTCCATCCTGGACCCAGTCCAGTTTCTGTCACGACTTCTGAACCCAGCTTAGATAAAAAAATTTGCTCAAGCAAACTCAGATGGCTCAAAACACACATCCATGGAGCTTTGGAATCCAAGAGAGAACTTCCCACGATCCCCAGCTGCTCTGAGAGAGCAGAGGGCACAGTGGGCCCTGTGGGTCCTCCATTGGTCAGTCAGAGCTCCTGGGGGCCGCTGGAAGCTCTACGCCAGATCCACTTCTGATGCCATCCGTTTAAAGAGAAAACTTGGCCGGGCGCAGTGGCTCACGCCTGTAATCCCAGCACTTTGGGAGGCCGAGGCGGGTGGATTGCCTGAGCTCAGGAGTTCAAAACCAGCCTGGGCAACACGGTGAAACCCCGTCTCTACTAAAATACAAAAAATTAGCCAGGCATGGTGGTGCATGCCTGTAATCCCAGCTACTCCAGAGACTGAAGCAGGAGAATTGCTTGAACCTGGTAGGCGGAGGTTGCAGTGAGCAGAGGTGGCACCACTGCACTCCAGCCTGGGCGACAGAGCAAGACTCTATCTCAAAAAAGAAAAAAAAAAGAAGAAATTTAAGGCCAGGTGCAATGGCTTACATCTGTACACCTGTAATTTCAGCACTTTGGGAGGCTGAGGCAGGTGGATCACTTGAGGCCAGGAATTCGAGACCAGCGTGCCACCACACCCAGCTAATTTTTGCATTTTTAGTACAGATGGGGGTCTCACTATGTTGGGCAGGCTGGTCTCGAACTCCTGACCTCAGGTGATCCACCCACCTCAGCCTCCCAAAGTGCTGGGATTACAGGCGAGAGCCACTGCGCCCAGCCTCTTTATTCTTTTAATCTCTGCAGAACCTGTACTCCCGCTGCCTCTCTTGTTCCTGATATCGGTAATTTCTATCCTTCTCCTCCTTTCCCCGGGCCCTTCCCCATCAAGTTGGCTAAAGGTTTATCAGGATTACTGATATTCTTAAAGAACCAAGTTTTGGTTTTCTCAATTTTGTTCTATTATTTATTGTTTTCTGTTTTATCAGCTTCTACTTGATGTTTACTATTTCCTTTCTTCTGCCCACTTTGGGTTTAATTTGCTTTTCTTTTTCTATTTTCCTTAAGCTGAGAGCAAGGTCATTGCTTGAGAATTCTTTTTTTTTTTTTTTTTTTTTTGGAGACCGAGTCTTGCTCTGTCACCCAGGCTGGAGTGCAGTGGCGCGATCTCAGCTCACTGCAACGTCTGTCTCCCAGGTTCAAGTAATTCTCCCTGACTCAGCCTCCCGAGTAGCTGGGATTACAGGCACACGCCACCACACCTAGCTAATTTTTAAATTTTAATAGAAACAGGTTTTCGCCATGTTGGCCAGGCTACTCTCGAACTCCTGACCTCAGGTGATCCGTCTGCCTCAGGCTCCCAAAGTGCTGGGATTACAGGCGTGAGCCACCGCGCCCGGCCTTCTCTCTTTTTTTTTTTTTTTTTTTTTTCTGAGACAGAGTGTCGCTCTGTCGCCCAGGCTGGAGTACAGTGGCGTGATCTCAGCTCACTGCAACCTCCGCCTTCTGGGTTCAAACGATCCTCGTGCCTCAGCCTCTCTAGTAGCTGGGATTATAGGCGTGTGCCACCACGCCTGGCTAATTTTTGTATTTTTGGTAGAGACGGGGTTTCTACCAAACCCTGGTAGAAATGTTGCCCAGGGTGTTCTTGACCTCGTGGGCTCAAGCAATCCTACCACCTTGGGCTCCCAAGGTGCTGGGATTACAGGTGTGAGCCACCACACCTGGCCAGTTAAACCATATTTCTTACAGGCAGCACAGAGTTGGGCTTTGCTTTTTTATCAATCAGACAACCTCTGCTTTCTTTTTGTGGGGGGGACAGGGTCTCACTGGCATCCAGGCTCGAGTGTATTGGTGCAATCACAGCTCATGGCAGCCTTGACCTCCAGGGCTCAAGGGATCCACCTGCCTCAGCCTCCCGAGTAGCTGTGACTACTGGCACATGCCACCACGCCCAGCTAAAGTATTTTTTTTTTTTTTTTGGAGAGATGAGTTCTCCCTCTGTTGCCCAGGCTGGTCTTGAACTCCTGGACTCAAGGGATCCTCCTCTACCAGCCTCTAAAAGTGCTGGGATTACAGGAGTGAGCCACCATGCATGGCCCCTCTGCTTCTTAATAGGGGAGTTTAGCCCATTGATATTTAATGTGCTTACTGGTATGGTTAGGTTAGAGTCTGTCACCTTGTTATTTGCTTTCTATTTGTCACATCTGTTCTTTTCTCCCCTTTACTCTTTTTCTGCCTCCTTTTGCGTTCATGAGAAGTTTTATTCGTTACATCATCTTGTTTGCTGGCTTTTTCGCTGTAACTCTTTGTTTTGTTATTTTAGGGGTTGACTTGGGTTTTTAGTTGTTAGCTTTAACGTCCCACAGTTGGCTCTGAGTGACTGATATTTCCTCTTTTTTATGGGTCACCCTTTCCTGCTTCTTTGTCTTTTTGATAATTTTTTATTGGAATGCAGACATTGTAAACTTTAACTCGGGTGGGAGCTAGATACTTTTATATTTCCACAAATATTCCTGAGCTTTGTTCTGGAATGTAGCTGTTTATCTGCAAGCAGTTTGATCCTTTCAAGTATTACTTTTACCGTTTGTAAGGGAGGTCTGGAATAGTGTGGGCTAACTATTCCCCACTATGGAGGCAAGCTGTTTCTGAGCCCCCCACCGCTGTGCGTGATAGGGTTTTCTGCTGAGGCTGGTGGGAGCAGACACAATTCCTAGGTCCATGTGAGCTCCCGGCACTGGTCTCTCTAGTCCTTTCGGATTGTGCTTTCCCGCCTTGGGACGTTTTCCCTGGGATGTGCTGATGGCTCAGTCCCTAATACTCCAGGGGGACTCTCGGGTCTCAGCTTCTCTCTCTGGGCAGCTCTCTGAGCTTCACGAACTTCAGCTGCCTGGAGACCCCCAGCTCTGTCTCATCAGCTCAGGGACTCTGTGGGCTCCACCTCAACTCCCGCTTCCCGCACGGAGGCCTGGAAACCCACCAGAAAGTGCATGGGCAGCGAGAGGCCCCTGAGGCCAATTCCCAGCCCGGGAAGCACTGTTGTGCACGGCCCACGTGTGGGATCTTGAGAGCCATTGTGTTGTGTATTTTGTCTGTTCTGTGTTGCTGTTTGGTTGTTTCATTGTCCTGTGTATTTTGTCTGTTCTGTGTTGCTGTTTGGTTGTTTCAGGCAGGAAGATAAATCCAGTCCCTGCTACCCCATCTCAGCCAGGAGTGGAAATCTGCCTTTTAATTTTGGTGGACATGTTTGGATAGACAGAAACTTGAAATGGTGAAGTGGTGAAATGGGCTGAGCTGCCCTTTTCTTCCATCATGTTTCCACTGTTCTAAAGCTGGAAACATTGTTCCCCAGCATGAAAGCAGATAAGTGTGCAGCACACATCTCTCTAGCTTATTTATCTATTCGAGATGGAGTCTCGCTCTGTTGTCCAGGCTGGAGTGCAGTGGCGCAATCTTGGCTCACTGCAACCTCGGCCTCCAGGGTTCAAGTGATTCTCCTGCCTAAGCCTCCCCAGTAGTTGGGATTACAGACTCCCGCCACCATGCCCGGCTTATTTTTTTATATTTTTAGTAGAGACAGGGTTTTGCCATGTTGGCCAGGCACGTCTCGAACTCCTAACCTCAGGTGATCCAACCGCCCCGGCCTCCCAAAGTGCTGGGATAACAAGCGTGAGCCACCGCGCCCGGCCTCTAGCTTTATTTTTAACCATTTTTTTTTTCACATGTCGTAGCCTCTGTAATTCACCTGGAATGTATTTTGGCATTTGATGTGGAGAGCAAATCTCACTGCCTTTTTTTCCTCCCCAGTGCATACCTGATTTTCTCGACCTCTTTTATGAAATATCCCCGCCAGACTCCCTCGACCGTGCCACCCCCAGGTTCCCGTGCATACACAACATTGCGGGATAGGTATTGTGGAATGAGGATCCGTGTTACGACCTACAGAAGATGTGGCTGTGAAGTCAGGAGTCACGGTCTCAGAGTTGACTGCACTGCCTCGTAGCTGTGTGACCTTCAGGATTTTGTTCAACCCCCTCTGAGCTTCAGTTTGCTCTCTGGGAAGACTCCAAGGATAAGAGCATCTACCTCCTCAGCCTGCTGTGAGAGTTAACAGGGCCAGGGCCAAAGACGCTTTGTCTGACTGCTGGTCTGCGGGGAGCTCTAAATATGAATCTGCTACATCACCTTCACTTTTGAATTCGGCTCTGATGTTCCAAATGTTCTTGGCCGTTCCTTCGTGTTTCTCCTGTACGAATTTCAGCTTCTTTTTGCCAAGTATCTCCCCACCCCCGCCCACCCCCACCCCCAAATAAACTCACTAGAATGTTGGCTGAAAATCTGATAAGGCTACACATTGATTTGGAAAGAAATGATTTTTTGTGAGAGTCAAACTCCCTACCCATTTTTTTTCTTTTGTTTTTTCAAAAGTTTTTTTCTTACATTTGTCATTCAAGTTTGTCATTTTCTTGCTACAGATTCCAAACACTTTTCAAGAGGACCGTCGCTAAGTACTTTATACTCTTGTTTGGGTTTTTTTAGAGTAAAAAATGTTCAAATTCTACTTTATCTTCTAGCTGGTGGTTGTTGGAAGATAATTTTAAAAACTGATTTAAAATATGTATTTTGCATCTGGCCGCGTTCCTGAATTCTCTCATTCTTTCTGAAAACTCTTCCGCCGACTCTCTGGGGGCTCCTAGGAATGTGCTGTTTTGGCTCCTCCTTTCCAGAACTTATACGTCTCATTTCCGCCTCACATCATTGGCATTGTCCTTCATTTCCAGACCAGGGTCGAACAGTAATGGTAAAAGCAGGCATCCTTCTTTGGTTCCTGTCTTGGGCTGGAACGCCTTAGTGTTCCCCCAGCAAGGGGAGATAAAGGAAGTGCTTATTTATAGTTTTCTATAGTTTCTTGAGCCTTCGTGTTGTTTTGCTTTCAGAAACAAGAATTGACTTTTAGCAAATGCCCTTCCCCCTATAGTTAACAATTAGGAACTATTCAAACTATGCCAGTAGGCATAAATAAAGTTAGGAAGAGCCCCCATCTACCCAGCCCCCACTTAGCTTAAGAAAGACAACATGGCTGGGCATGGTAGCTCACGCCTGTAATCCCAGCACTTTGGGAGGCTCGAGTCCAGGAGTTTGAGACTAGCCTGGGCAACACAGTGAGTCTCTACAAAAAATACAAAAGTTGGGCCTGGGTACGGCGGCTCACACCTGTAATCCCAGCACTTTGCGAGGCTCGAGTCCAGGAGTTTGAGACTAGCCTGGGCAACACAGTGAGTCTCTACAAAAAATACAGAAGTTGGGGCCGGGCGCGGTGGCTCATGCCTGTAATCCCAGCACTTTGGGAGGCTGAGGTGGGCGGATCACGAGGTCAGGAGATCGAGACCATCCTAGCCAACACGGTGAAACCCCATCTCTACTAAAAATACAAAAATTAGCCGGGCGTGGTGGCACGCGCCTGTAATCCCAGCTACTCGGGAGACTGAGGCAGGAGAATTGCTTGAACCCAGGAGTCGGAGGTTGCAGTGAGCCAAGATCATCACTGCACTCCAGCTCGGCGACAGAACAAGACTCCGTCTCAAAAACAAAAACAAAAACAAAAGTTAGCCAGGCATGGCAGTGGGCACCTGTAGTTCCAGCTACTCAGGAGGCTGAGATGGGAGGATCACCTGAGCCTGGGAGGTTGAGGCTGCAGTCAGCCGTGGTGGTGTCATTGCACTCCAGCCTGGGCAACACAGTGAGACCCTATCTGAGAAAAAAAGAAGAAGAAGAAGAAGAAGAAATACAACGTGATGGCTTCATCTGAGTTGAGGGCTCTGTGCAGCTCCTTTGTGGTGGAATCCTCTGCTCTGCTGGCAGGGACGTTTCATCATAAGTGTGTGTTCTGTATATCCAGGTGCAAGTGATATTTTAAAATATAAAACTATTGTTTAAATTTCATGTAAGTAGCATGATTTTTCCTTTTGCAACTCTTTCACCCCCACCCCAATGTGGTTGCTGTGTCCGGGACTTCGCCATTGGTGGCTCACAGCCGCAGGTCAGCTGTAATCGTGCAGAACCCATCTATGAATACACGACGGTGTACCTGTCCATTCTCCTCTTGGTGAATGTGTGGAGGTTTTCTGATTCTTTGCAGTGACCAACAGCAATCTGTGCCCAGCAATGCAAATGCCGGACTGAGGGATGCACCCTGCACGCTGGCCAAGATGTCACTGGGCGCCATTGTGGTGTTTTTTTTTTGAGACGGAGTCTCGCTCTGTTGCCCAGACTGGAGTGCAGTGGCATGATCTCGGCTCACTGCAAGTTCTGCCTCCCGGGTTCAAGGGATTCTCCTGCCTCAGCCTCCTGAGTAGCTGGGATTACAGGCACCCGCCACCACGTCCAGCTAAGTTTTGTATTTTTAGTAGAGACAGGGTTTCACCATGTTGGCCAGGCTGGTCTCGAACTCCTGACCAAGTGATCCAGCCACCTCGGCCTTCCAAAGTGTTGGGATTACAGGCGTGAGCCACCGTGCCTGGCTGGGGTTCTCTATTTTCAAGACACCCTTTTAACTTTATAAGTAATCAATCAGGTGGTTCTTCGAAACTGAACATTCTGACCCCCGTTAACTTTCACCTGCGACTTGGGCGTCCAGTGACAATCCTTGTCTCAATCAACGATCCCATCAATGGTTGCAAAATGGTGCATTCTTAACGCTATCATTTCACCTCCGCTGAGCTGGTGTTCTGCAGAAATGAACTTTTCCTTCTCCAGACTGATGTTTATATTTTGTTCATCCACTTTGCAGTTTTAATTTGGTTTCCCCTTTCATGGGTGTGCTGACCATTCAGGTTCTCTTCTCTGCCAGCTGCCTGTCACCTCCTCTCGCCCATTTTTCTATTCAGTTGCTTGCCTTTTTTCTAATGGTGTCCTACCTTCTTTTTAGATAGTGAAAACTAATTCTTGATCAGTGATATGTGTTACAAACATCTCCTCCCAAAAGATGGCTTGTTTTTTTTGGCTTGGTTTATGGTGTCTTTTGATGAAGAGAAGTTCACTTATTAAAAACTGTAGTTATTTCTTGTTGAATTTACCAATCTCTTTATTCTCTGGTTTGTGGTTTTTACATCTTGTTGAACAAATGTTCCTTGCTACTAGCCGGGCGCAGTGGCTCACGTCTGTAATCCCAGCACTTTGTGGGGCTGAGGAGGGTGGATCACCTGAGGTCAGTTCAAGACCAACCTGGCTAATGTGGTGAAACCCTGTCTCTACCAAAAATACACAGATTAGCTGGGTGTGGTGGTGGGCGCCTGTAATCCCAGCTACTAGGGAGGCCAAGGCAGGAGAATTGCTTGAACCTGGGGGACAGAGGTTGCAGTGAGCCGAGATTGTGCCACTGCACCCCAGCCTGGGTGACAGAGTGAGACTCTGTATCAAATTAAAATAAAATAAAATATAAATTAATAAGTGGCACGATCTCAGCTCACTGTAGCCTCTGCCTCCCGGGTTCAATCGATTCTCCTACTTCAGCTTCCTGAGTAGCTGGGATCACAGGCACCCACCACCACGCCTGGCTAATTTTTTTTGTATTTTTGGTAGAGATGGGGTTTCACCCTGTTGGCCAGGCTGGTCTCAAACTCCTGACCTCAAGTGATTCGCCTGCCTCGGCCTCTCAAAGTGCTGGGATTACAGGCGTGAGTCACTGCGCCCGGACCTCCCTTCTGTTCTTAGTTGACCAGAATGTCTATCTATGAGTGGTGTTATATTTTATCCAAAATTTTTTGTAGTCTTTACATGCTTTATGTGTTGTGAATCACTACATCATTCAGTTTTCTGATGTACAACTATTATTACATTAAAAAGAACCCCCGAGGCCGGGAATGGTGGGTCTCACCTGTAATCCCAGCACTTTGGGAGGCCGAGCTGGGAGGATCACTTGAGGCCTGGAGTTTGAGACCAGCCTGAGCAAGATAGTGAGTGAGACCCCATCTCTAAAAAAAAAAAAAAAAAAAAAAAAAGCCAAGTGTGGTGGTACATAGCTGTGGTCCCAGCTATGTGAGAGGGTGAGGTGGGGGAGATCGCTTGAGCCCAGGAGTTTGAGGCTGCAGTGAGCCAGGATCTCACCATTGCACTCTGGCCTGGGTGACAGAGCAAGACCTCATCTCTTTAAAAAGGTAAAATTAAAAAAATAATAATAAAGGACCCCCTTGGTCATAATGTAATTGAAAAAAATTCTTGCTGTTTTTTGCTTGGTAGGAGGTTTAACTACTGGTTCCTTGTCTTTTTTTTTGTCTTTGCACCCCTGATTCGGAATGCAAGGTTCAATGTCTTTAAAATGAATTAGTCTATGCAAGGTTTGAACTTCACTTTGAGTCAATTCCATGTTCTATTTCTCCTGGGAATGGGCTGTTTTGCTCAGTTTTTAAATTGTCATAAAGTTGTTTATGGGATTCTTTCACCACAATGTCATCTCTGCAGCCTTCGTCATTACGTTCCTCTTTTCGTCGACATTGCTTATTTGTGTCTCTTCCTCTTTCTACTAATTTTTTTGCCAGATGTTAGACTATTTATTAGTTTTTTCACATAAACCATTTCTAAATTATTTATTTATTTTTAAGCCAGAGTCTCACTCTGTCGCCCAGGCTGGAGCGCAGTGGCGAGATCACGGCTCACCGCAACCTCCGCTTCCTGGGCTCAAGTGATGCTGTCACCTCAGCTTCCCAAGGAGCTGGGATTACAGGCACCTGCCACCACGCCTGGCTAATTTATTTTCATTTTTTGTAGAGATAGGTTTTTGCCATGTTGCCCAGACTGATCTGGAACTCCTAGGCTCAAGTGATCTGCCCTCCTCGGCCTTCCCAAAGTGCTGGGATTACAGGTGTGAGCCACTGCGCCCGGCCAACACAGCAGCAATATTTAATTTTGTTGATCTTCATTAATTTTTATTTTTCATTCTATTAACCTCCTATGTTTCTTATTATTTCCATTGCTTTCTTTCCCTTGGTTTTAGTGTTTTGTTCATTTCCTAATTTCATAAACTAGATGCATACTTATTAATACTTTCCCCTCTCTATTTTTTTGTTCTGGGGTAATCCATACTTTGTTTTCTTTGTTTTTTGGTTTTCCTCCTTTCTTTTTTTTGAGATGGAGTCTCGCTCTGTCACCCAGGCTGGAGTGCAGTGGCACAATTTCGGCTCACAAACCTGCCTCCCAGCTTCGCGCCATTCTCCTGCCTCAGCTTCCCGAGTAGCTGGGACTACAGGCACCCACCACCACGCCCAGCTAACTTTTTGGTTTTTTTTTTTTTGTTTTTTTTTAGTAGAGACGGGGTTTCACCGTGTGTTAGCCAGGCTGGTCTCGAACTCCTGACCTCGTGATCCGCCCGCCTCAGCCTCCCAAAGTCCTGGGATTACAGGCGTGAGCCACCGCGCCCGGCCCCCGCTTTCTGATATAAGCATCCAGGCCTCGCATTTCCCTCTGTCTTGTTTTAGCTGCACCCAGGGCTTTGCTCTGGGGTCTCCCATTCTCCTTCAGTTCCAGCCTCACCCACTCTCCCTGACCACGTCCCCTCTGATCCCTGAGCTATTCAGGTGTGTTTTTACTTTCTAACCCTTGCTGAAAGGGCCGCCTTCTAGTTAGTTGGGTTCTGACTTGGCCGCAGAGGGCAGACAGTTGGCTGGGGCATTCTCGTGTCCATGGCCAGCTTTGGTCACTGTCTCTCACGTGTCCTCTGGTTTGGAGGCTCTGCTTCAGTCCCTGTCTGTTCCACTAAGCCAAGTCGTTTCGTTCCAGTCCTAGACGCCTCACCCCGCGCTCTGCGGTGAGCACGAGCTGTGCACTGGGATCGCGGACTCCTTTTCCCTCGTCATGCTGCCACGGGCTCCCACTGCACTCCCAGTCCCAATTGCAGGATGCGTGGGGGACGGAGCCCCTGTCCATGGGTGGTGACCACCTCTGTGCCCAGCATAGCTGCTTGCCTCCTGTCCATTTGGTGCTCCTGGGGGGCCTTTCAGAACCAGGCAGCACAGCAAGATTGGTGACATCCAACCAACAGATTTCACCCGGGCGTACCCCGGTTCCCACCTGTGCATTACCCAATGAACACGCCTGGTTGGGCGCAGCGTAGCTGAGACTCCCATGTGCAGGCCTGCTGTGGGGGTGCAGGCCCACGGTGCACATTGGTGTGTGTTGTGGGGTCACACACCTGGGATGATGTTTCTGTGTGTGTGTGTGTGTTGTAGGGTCACACATCTGGGATGATGTTCTGTATGTGTGTGTGTGTTGTGTGTGGGGTCATGCACCTGGGATGTCTCTCTGTGTGTCTGTATGTGTTGTAGGGTCACGCATCTGGGATGATGTTGCTCCTTATGTGTGTGTGTGTTGTGTGTGGGGTCACACACCTGGGATGATGTTTCTCTGTGTGTGTGTCTGTGTGTGTGTTGTTGGGTCACACACCTAAGATGTTTTTCTTTGTGTGTGTGTGTGTGTGTTGTGTAGTCACACACCAGGGATGATGTTGCTCTGTGTATGTGCCTATGTGTGTTGTAGGGTATATACACCTGGGGATGTTGCTCTGTGTGTGTGTGTGTGTGTGTGTGTGTTCTGGGGTCACACACCTGGGGATGATGCTCTGTGTGTGTTGTGGGGTGTACAAACCTGGGGAGGATGTTGCTCTGTGTGTGTTCTGGGGTCACACACCTGGGGATGATGTTGCTCTGTGTGTGTGTTGTGGGGTCACACACCTGGGATGTTTCTGTGTCTTTGTGTGTGTGGGTTGTGGGGTGTACACACCTGGGGAGATGTTGCTCTGTGTGTGTTGTGGGTGTACAAACCTGGAGATGTTTCTGTGTGTGTGTGTGTGTGTGTGTGTGTGTTGTGAGGTCACACACCTGGGATGATGTTGCTCTGTGTGTGTCTGTGTGTGTGTTGTGAGGTCACACACCTGGGGATGATGTTTGTGTATGTGTGTGTTGGGTGTACAAACCTGGGGATGATATTTCTCTGTGTGTGTGTTGTGGGGACACACGGATGATGTTTGTGAGTGTGTGTGTGTATGTGTTATGGGGTCACACACCTGGGATGTTTCTCTGTGTCTGTGTGTTTTGTGGGGTCACACACCTGGGATGATGTTTCTGTGTGTGTGTGTGTGTGTGTGTGTGTGTGTGTTCTGGGGCCACACAACTGGGATGATGTTTCTCTGTGTGTGTGTGTGTCTTGTGGGGTGTACACACTTAGGGATGATATTGCTATGTGTGTGTGTTCTGGGATCACATCCCTGGGGATGATGTTGTTCTCTGTGTGTGTGTTGTGGGATAGGACATCTGAGATGATGTTTCTGTATGTGTGTGTCTGTGTGTTGTGGGGTCACACACGTGGGATGATGTTTCTGTGTGTGTGTGTCTGTGTGTGTATGTTGTGCGGTCACGCACCTGGGATGATGTTTCTGCGTGTGTGTGTATGTGTTGTGGGGTCACACACCTCGGATGATGTTTCTTTGTGTGTGTTGTGGGGTCACACACCTGGGATGTTTCTGTGTGTGTGTGTGTTGTGGGGGGTGATGTTTCTGTGTGTGCATGTGTTGGGGGGGATATTATTTGTATGTGTGTGTGTGCGGGGTGATGTTTCTGTGTGTGTGTGTTGTGGGGGGTGATGTTATGTGTGTGTGTTTTGGGGGGGTGATGTTTCTGTGTGTGTGTGTGTTGTGGGGAGGTGTGTGTGTTGGGGTGATGTGTGTGTGTTGTGGGGGGTGATGTGTGTGTGCGTGTTGGGGGTGGTATGTGTGTGTGTTGGGGGTGATTTTGTGTGTGTGTGTGTGTTGTGGTGGGTGATATTATGTGTGTGTGTTGGGGGTGATGTGTGCGTGTGTTTTGGGGGGTGATGTTATGTGTCTGTGTTGGGGGGTGGTGTGTGTGTGTTGGGGAGGTGGTGTGTGTGTGTTGGGGGTGGTGTGTGTGTGTGTTGTGGGGGGGGATGTGTGTGTGTGTTGTGGGGGGTGATGTTTGTGTGTTTGTGTGTGTTGTGGGTGATTGTGTGTGTGTGGTGGGGGTGTTATGTGTGTGTGTGTGTTGTGGGGGTTGGTGTGTGTTGTGGTGGGTGATGTTTGTGTGTGTATGTGTATTGTAGGGGTGATTGTGTGTGTGTTGGGGTGATTGTGTGTTGTGGGGGTGATTGTGTGTTGTGGAGGGTGATGTTATGTGTGTGTGTGTTGTGGGGGGTGATGTGTGTGTGTTGTGGGGGGTGATGTTTGTGTGTGTGTTGGGGTGATTGTGTGTGTGTGTTGGGGTGATTGTGTGTGTTGTGATTGTGTGTGTATTGAGGTGATTGTGTGTGTTGTGGGGGTGATTGTGTGTGTGTATTGGGGGATTGTGTGTGTGTTGTGGGGGGGTGATGTTATGTGTGTGTGTGTGTTGTAGGGGGGTGATGTTTTTGTGTGTGTGTGTGTTGTAGGGAGTGATGTGTGTGTGTGTGTTGTGGGGGGTGATTTTGTGTGTGTGTGTGTGTTGTGGGCGGTGATGTTTGTGTGTGTGTGTGTGTGTGTTGTGGGGGGTGATGTTATGTGTGTGTGTGTTGCAGGGTCTGCACATGTGTGTGATGCTATCTGGAGGTTCTGTTTTGTCCTCTGGGTCCTGGCCTTGTCCCCAACCCCATCGCAGACTGAGGGGGCCGTGCTGCTCCCCCCCATCCCCCGCTCCTTGGCCCCCATCCCCGGCAGCAGAACTCCCGGATGTGGCCGCCCGCCCGCCCCTGAGTCTTTCTGGGGGCCGTTCTGGACTCCAAACCTTCCTCTGTGAATATTTTGCTGTACAAGTCTCTGCGTCTTGATCCAATTTCTATGATTTATACTTTCCATAATTTTCTCTGGTCAGGATTTTCAGATTTACGACCCGCGTGCGCTCTGCTGTCCTGCGTTCCGGAGAAGGCTGTCTGTGTCTTCCCTGCCTGCTGTCTGCTGGGAGTGCACTCTCCTGCACTGTTTTTCCCCGACCAGGGCCTGGGGTGCACCCCTCACGCAGGAGCCGCTCCCGCCTGCCTCTGCCTTTCTGGGGGGTGGCAAAGTCTCTTTCGCAGCCCTGCCCTCCTCCCTCACCCCCTCCCGAGGCAAAGTTTCTCTGCCCCCAGTGGATTGACAGCTGGCGCAGATGGCCAGGGTCTGGGGCTGGGGGTGAGGCCTGCAGATCACCCCCTTCTGCACAAAGACCCTATGGGAGTGGAGAGTGGAGGGGCCCTATAGGCTTGCGCGGGGATGGAGCCCACGTTTTAGAGGGAAAAGCTGTGGGCAGCGTCTGATGGGCATCCAGGCACCGCCCTGGCCGTAGCAGCAGGTGGCACGTGCTGGCCAGTGCCCTCCTGAGCTGGCCCTGCGCGTACTGGCCAGTGCCCTCCTGAGCTGGCCCCGCGGATGACCAGGACGCTGTGCCATTGGCTAGCCCCTACCTGCCTCCTCTCGTGTCCTCCGGGGCCCCCATGCAGAAGCAAGTACAGACTGTGAAGGGGGTTCTGCAGCTTTATTCACAGGCCCCAGGGGATGAAGGCAGCAAGGACACAGACGCGGGGGACGCCCCGGGATGGCCTCTCCACCCCCAGGACTGTCAGGGAGCCCCTGACAGGATTGTGGGGGCTGGAGGATGTGGAGTCCCACGAGCGGCCCTGGTGTGCAAGAGGGCGGAGGGTCTCTGCCTCGAGGGGCCTTTCTGGCCTCTCTACTTCCAGCGCCCGCCGACTTTGCCCTTGGCTGGGGTCCCAGCCTTCTTGCTGCTGCAAATGGGAAGCAAGTGATCCTTCAGGGTCAGGGCCTCTGGCCATGCCCCTCCTGGTCCCCCACCCTGGGCGGACTCTCAGCCCGACCCCAGGCTGCTCTCAGGGCACAGGCCCGGCCCAAGCTTGCGGCCCACACCCAGCTTCAGTCCGGGCAGTGCCCACTCACCTGTGCCTGGCGGGCCTAGGTCGTTAGTGTGGTTAGGGGGCTGGCACGTGAGCCCGGGGCACCCTCCCTCTGTCCTCCTTTCTTTGCCTGAGGTACCACTGCAGACAGACCCCTGAGCTGGGGAAGACTGTCTTAGCAGATAATGATATAATCCTAGACGCTTGGCCTTGAAAGAGCTCATGCCCCTCCAGACGGTGGCCTCTGAGGGGCCCAGGAGCCTGCCCCATTTGTCTGAGGTCTTCATGTGGCCACGAGCCGGGAGGAGCTGGGTGCGGGTGAGGGGTGAAGGCGGGTGGAGGACAGGAGTGCTTCGGCCCGCGAGGCCGGCCCCATTCAGACGCGGCTGCTCAGCAGGACACCTGGCTGGCAAAGGCCGTGCCCTCACACACGTTCCTGGGCACTCTCGGCACATGCACACATGCACACACGCAGGCACATGCACACCACGCCGACTGCCCACCCTCAGAGGGGTCTGCAATGACCCCTGACGGCACAACAGGGAAGCCGTGAGGTCACGTGCACCACGGAGGAGCCCGCCCTGGGCGCCGCAGGGAAGCCAAGGCGACAGGAGGAGGGAGAAGAATCCCAGAAAACATCGAAACTCCAAGTAGCCCCCAAACACTGCGATCCTTGGGGAAATGGCACTGGCTGTGCAGCTGGGCTCCATGACAGGATCCCCAGCGTGGCATCGCCGGGGGCACCCTGGGTGCAGCCCCATGCAGGTGGTCGAGTAGCTGTGTCAAGGGATCCCACAGCCCCCAGGGACACGATTTTATGGATGAGGTTTCACCATCCTGAGGAGTCCATGATTTTGCCCAGCGTCACAGAGGGGCTGGTGATGAAGCCCTGACTGCTTAATTCCCTGTCCTAGGTCCCCTTGGAGGGTGGGACACTGGCGGGATACCCTGGGGCCCAGGTTGGCCACACCAAAGGCCCCCCGAGTAGCCCCTTCTAGGGGTCCCCTGGCTGCCCTCTCCCTGCAGCCAGTGCCAGACTCGGGGCGAGGGCGTGACAGGCAAGCCCCATTGGGATCCCTCCTCCTGACTCTGCCACCCCCCAGGGCTCCCCTGCGTGCAGGAGAGGGAGGAGGCTCCGGGTCCCTGGCCACAGGCCTGCGCATGCTGGCCTGGGTGGCCTGGCCGGGTTAGTCTCGTTACTGCCCTGCCGAGGCCAGCCACCACCGGCCCTTGTTAGGGACTGGCTACAGCGGCTGGCCCCAAGGGCCCCTGTGCCCAGTGCGGAGCGAGGACGGCAGGGCTACTCACTGCTTCTGGGCCTGGTCAATGCGGCTCCTGAGCGTGGTGATCTGTGAACAACATGAGTGACTCACTGCGACGACCCGAGGGCCAGGCCTGCGTGTACTGGGTGAAGGCCTGTCTCCACCGCAGGGTGGGCTGGGCTGCGCGACCCAGGGCTGCTGGGCCCCCATGAGGGCTCCTCGGCTCCCTTACTGTCTCCTGGCTCCTTGTGCAGGGGGACACCGTCCCGTGGCCCCTGGGCTCATGCCTGGACTTACTCTCGCCAGCCTGTACTGGCCTGGACTGCCACACACAGCAGCCCGTAGCTGGCCACTTACCTTCAGCCTGCGGCAGGATGTGGGGCGGGGGGTACGGAGCATGGATGGGGCTGGGGAGGGGTTGCAGGTGAGGCCTGCGGACCCCTCCTTCTCAGCTCCAGCTCCCTTCAGCCGCTGAGCTCAGAGCTCCGAGCGGCCCTGCTGCTCCTGGGCCAGCCGCTCCCGCCCTCGTGCCTGTGCCCAGGGGCACTCTGTGGCCGCTGCTGGCTTGAGGCGGAGCTCCTGGGAAGGTGGGGGCCCTTCCTCGCTTGCCAACAGGGCAGCGGCCACTGGGAAGCCCCCGGCTGCAGGCACGAGGGGAGAGCGGGGGCAGGAGGAAGGCTCCAGGCCCCCTGCCGCCAGCATCCTGAGCGATCCAGGTTTTTGCCATGCGAGAGGTTCACCTCACCGTGCAACGCACACCCACGGGCCTGGCCCAGGGCGGACCCGGCTACTTACAACTTGGCCAGCATCTGCACTCTGGCCCGGACATTCATGATCTAGAAAGACCAAGATGGTTACAAGGCTGGATGGGCGGCTGGGGCATCGAGGCCCGGCTGTGGGCTAGCTTGGCCTGGTGATGGCCCTCCAGGCTCTGGAGCCCCTGGGGGCCCGCTGTGGCCGCATCTATCCAAAGCCAGTGGGTCCCTGATTCAGCTCTGGGAACACAGCATGGGAAGGACCTGGGTCCTGTGCCGTGAAGCCCGTCTCAGGGCCAGCCCCTCTGGGAGAGCCCCAAGGGTGAGGTCAGGGCTGTCCCTCATGCCTGGACCCCCTGGGGACAGCTCTGGGAGGGAGTGTAATCGCCCTGCCTCTGTCGGAGGGGAGCTCGTGGAAGCTCAGGTGGAACAGGTGGCCTGCCCAGAACCCCCGAGAAGGAGCTCGGATTTGCCCGGCTGGCTTGGACTGGTCGCCCCACACCCGCTGCACCTGGGTAGAGCACAAGCCCCGTGGGCACAGCCGCCCTCCCCTGGGGCCTCTGGCGGTGCTGGAGGGTGGACATCGTGGCCCTGATGGTGATGCTGGAGTGTCTGCATTTGCCCCGAGCACGTGGATCACCCATGGCTGCGCCCCTCACCCCTCGCCCCTGGAGCCCAAACGGGTGTTTGGGAGGGTGGGAAGCAGCTTGGCTTCCACCCTAGCTCCCACATTGTACCCCAGTCCCTGAGGCCGCCCGGGCAGGCTGCCTTCCCCAGTCCCAGCTTTGCCTGCGGTGATAGTGCCTGCATGGGATGGTGGCTCTGCTCCGTCCCAGACGGGCACAGTCCCAGGCCCCTTTTCCCAGCCACAGGGTGCAGTGTGTCACCCCTCTCTGTCTGCCCTGAGGAAGCAGGTGTCCGGGGCCCTGGTGGAAGCCAGAGTCTGGGTTTGTGGAGGAGGCTCTGTCGAAAGGACGCCCCACACCAGACGGACTCGGTGCCCCGGGGCCGAGCTGGGTGATGATGGGGACTTTCTATAAGCTTAAAGGGGTTCCGAAAATGAACCCTGAGTCCACTTGGCCATGGCTGCTCTGCCACGACAGTCCTTTTGGCAGGGGTAACCAAGGCCGCCCAAAGGGGCCAGGTTCATCGCTCAGGGTGCTGCATGGCCAGCCAGGAGGAAGGGGTCTGGCCACAGTCCCCAGCAGGAAAGCAGCCTCAGCCAGGGGTCCGTGGCAACAGCCTGTTTGGGCCTCTCAGGGTCCAGGTCCCTGGGGTGGGCAGGTCCAGAGTTTGGTAGGGACGCAGGGAGGTGGCTGCTCTGCTGGTGGGTGAAAGCCGCTAGGGCCCCAGGGCCGGAGGTGCCGGGACTCACGTCATATTTCTGGCGTTTCAGCTTCTCCCCAAACTCGAACTTGTCAATCTCCAGCTGGTGCAGGGTCTCCCAGAGCTCCTTGGCCTTGTCCCTGGGGCAGAGGAAGTGGTGAGGCTTCGTTGAATAAGCCCCAAAGGCAGGGCCAGGCCCCTGGAGTCCTCCTGCAGCCACTGGGGAGCACGGTCCTTGGCAGCCTGAGGAGCAGTCGGCAGCTCCTGCAGGGGCCACCCCGTGGGGCTGAGCCCCACAACACCCACCCCTCACCTCAGTTTGTCTTCACCAAGGTGATCGATGTTGAGCGGCTTGCGTCTCTCAGCCAGAATCTTCTTCTTCATTTCCCGGGCTGTCTGCTTCTTGCCTCTCTTCTGGTCAGCCTGCAGCGGACAGGCCCAAAGAGAGGGGCCTGGTCTCAGGAGGGCACAGGGCGTAGCCCACACTGAAGGCTACCACCGTGCTCCCAGCAGCGGCACACACCTTGGCCAGGTAGCTGCTGTAGTTGGCTCCCATGGAAGACAGAGCTTTCTTCTTCTTCAGGTCGTCCTCTGCCCTCCTCTTGGCATCCTCCTCCTCCCTTCTGGCCTTTTCCTCCTGTGGAGACCCCATTCCCAAGATGCTCAGGGATGGAGAGAGGGCTATGCTTTCTGGGCAGGCTTTAGGGACCCACCCTGGGCTTAGAGCTGTCTGGAAGGGCCCACCCTGGGCTTAGAACTATCTGGAAGGAAGCTCCAGGTCTTGGCCAGGATTTGTTTTCTGGCAAGGGGTTCTGCAGGGCGCCGGGGCCTTAGCCAGTGGTTCTGATCATTGGCCAATGACAATGGGAACCCCGGGAGAAGGAAGGCCTCAGCCCCCTGCATTTCTCTGGGCCTGGGGCTCATTCTCTGATGAGGCAGCAGTGCGGATGGTGCCCTCACCGCCAGTCTGTTCTGGCGCTCCCTCTCCTTCTCTGCACGAATCCTCTGCTGCTCCGCTCTCTCTGCACGGCGCTTCTCCTGCAGCCAGAGAAGGGGGTCTGCTCAGCCCTGTCCCCGGCTCCTCCGAGGGAGTCCACCAGCCCCTGCTGCAACCTGAACTGCCCCACTCACGATTCTCTCTTTGAGAGCGACCAGCTCCTCCTCCTCCTTCTTCCGGGCTTCAAAGTGGCTGTCGATGAGGGCCTGGAGCTCCATTAGGTCTTTGTTCTGACGCTTCTTCTGGATGTCCTGTGGGCAGGGGCAGTGGGTGTGAGCCCCACCCCTCTCTCCAACCTCTGCCCTGCCTGGCCTGCCTTGCAGCAAGAGGTCCCTTCCTTTGCCCCAGCAGAGAAGCCCTGACTCCCTTGGCCACCATGAAAATGGCAAGTGGCAAGGAATGTTTTGCCTTCTCCACATTGCCATGGCTGCTATCCTCATAGGGGCCGAGGGTGGCCTGATTCCTGAGCCACACAGCAGGGATGGTGCCCAGCCATAAGGTCCTCAGCATCCTTAGGATGGACTGGCCCTGACTTGGCTCTGTCATCATCCTCAGAGATGCCCTGCATGGGCCTGGCAGAGAGAAGACTGCAGAGTGAGAGAAATTGTTGGATACATAGGTAGGCATGTGAACAGATGAGCTGATGGATGGGTGGATGAGTGAGAGAGGATGGAGACAGATGACTGGGTGGATAGATGGATGATTGGAGAAATGGATGGATGGATGAATGGATGGATAGGTAGATGGGTGGAGGAATGATTATGTGGATTAATGGTAGAGGATGCGTGGATGGTGGGTGAGTGGGTGGGTGGGTGGATGGGAGGATGAATGGGTGAATGGGTGGGTGGGTGGGAGGGTGGATGAGTGGATGGTTATGTGAGTGAGTGGATGATAGATGGATCGATGGATGGATGAGTAGATGAATGAGTGGTATGAATGGATGGATGGATGGGTGGATGGGTGGGTGAGCGAGTAGGTGAGTGGAGAGATGAGTGAGTGGATAGGTAGGTGAGTATGAATGGGTGGTTGGGTGGGTGGATGGATGGATGAATGGGTGAGTGGATACGTGGCTGGTTGGATGGATGGAAGTAAGGCAGGATGGATGGATGGATGGATGGATGGATGGATGGATGGGTAGGTGGGTGGTTGGGTGGATGAATGGATGGATAGATGGTTGAGTGGATGGGTGTGTGGGTGGGTGTATGAATGGATAGGTGAATGGGTAGGAGCTTACGTGGGTGGGTGGATGGATGGATAGAAGGATAGATGGAGGAGAAGGGAAGAGAGATGCTTATTCTTAGAGGGGTTTCCTCTGGCCCAGGAATAAGCTATGGTAGAATTGCCCAGACCCAGGAGGCCCCGGCTCTGGCTACTTGGGAGGAAGTGACCTTCTGAGGCCTAGAGCCCAAAAGCTGGGGTGTGGGGAAACCGTGGACATGTTAACCAGAGTCCTGTAAACTTACATCGAAGTCCACTTTCTCCCCTTCTGGGATCTTAGGAGCAGTGAGTCTGAAGAGGAGACAGAGAGGCCCGTGAGCAGAGACCCGGAGACCCACCCCAGAGGGTCAGCCTGGCGCTTTCCCCGCTGGCCCCTGCCAACCCTGGTGCCCTCCTGCTCTGGCCCCCAGCCAAGCATGCCCGCCTAGTGACACGTTTGCCCCAGCTTTATTCTTATGAGGTTTGTAGCCCACCATCCTGAGAGTGGCTTGAGCCCCTCAAGAAGGCTTCCGCTTCCAGCGCCACCGTCTGCCTTTTGGCTTCTGGCCATTGCAATGTCACTGCACCCCAGCTACCAGGGAGGGCACCTCTGTTTCCTCCTCAAACAGATAAACAAATGCAGCCATGTCGGGTGAGAAGCGATGGCCACTGTGGGTGGCGGTGGCCTCCCTGGGCAGGAATGGCTGCTGCGAGCCTGTGCCTTTCCCCAGCCCCTCTTTCATCTTTCTCTCTGGGGGCCCAAAGGAAGGAGGAGAGGGGGCTGGGAAGAAAGCAATCTGAAGGGGAAATGAGGCCCCCTCTCCGGCTGGGTGTGCAGTCCCCTCCTCTCACCAATACATTCCAGATGCAGCAAAGAGTTAAAACAACAACAATTTTTTCCAACAAACCATAGAAGAAAGTGGAACTAAATATCAATCAGAAACTGGAGCAGGAAAGGGTTTCCTAAGCTCAGGAGCACCAGAAGGTGCCTCTAAGGGAAAGAAGGCCAGATGACACCACGCAAATGAAAAACGTATGTATGTGAAAAAAAAAAAAAAAACGGAAAATGGAAAGGCAAAAAAAAAAGACTAAAAAAAATTTTCAGCAAATACAGAGAAGACTTATATCCTTATGCAAACTGATGACTAAGAAAACACAGAGATTCCTCCACCAGGAGACAAATGAGCAATGGCCGTAGCTACGAGTTCTCAGAGAAGAGACGACCCATCCCAAACTCAGGGAAACGCTGGCCCCGAGTGACTGTTAGGGCGCAAAGCCAAAGAATCATGAGGTGCCGTTTCTCATCCATCAGAGGCTGCAATGTAAAAGCACGTTCCTGTCCCTGGGTGAGGAGGGTGTGGGACACAGACCCGCTCACATCCCACGTAGGAGACGGCGTTGGCCAGGCCCTTGTGGAAAGCAATTTGGCAGTGGATGTCAAAGCCTTAAGAACATTCATACTCTTTGACCCAGTAATTCCAGTTCTGGGAATGTGGCCTACGGAAATAACCCTAAAGATGGAAAACGCTTTCCAACCAGCGTTATTTATGATAGTAAAATATTGGGGAAAGCCTGCAATAGGGGAATGGTTAGGAAAATTATGGTTTGTCCAATTGATGGAATATTATGTGGCCATTCAAAATATTTAAGAAGACTGTGTAAAAACATGGAAAAATACTTATGAATAGTGCTAAATTTTAAAAAAAGCAGAATTCAAGGCCGTAGAGACGGTATGATGTTTGAAAAACAAGGCCGACTTTAAATCTTTTTTTTCCAAGCGCTATGCATGGAAAAAAGGAAGAAATAAGGCTTTTTATTTCTTTCTGCTCTTTTCCACAGTCTGGCTGGCTGGGTGGGAGAATTATAGATGACGTTTTTTCTTCATTTGACTTTTATATATTTTCCAAATTTTCTTTCATGAGGTGTCTTATTTTCATAATGAAAACACAAACAATTTTTCTAAAATGAGAAAATATCTCATGATCCAGCATTACTGTACTTAAAATCACTGAAAAATACAGTGCAAAGGGTGGGAATACGCCGGCTGTACCCTTCAGATGTTCTCACTCTTCTGAGAATCTGCAATGCTCCCCAAGTGGGAGCCAACAGTGAGTGTGTGTCAAGATGCTCTAAGATTCCACTTCGCACAGAGCAACACACAGGCAAGAGCACTCGAGAGATAAAAGGGTGAATCACGTAGCGAGTGCTGTGGCTGGTGAATACCGATCAAAAGCAGAAAAGTCAGAAGAGCTGCATTAAAAAAACCAACCCACGAAGTGCTCACAAGCAGGTGCGATGAGGACAAGCTCCTCTGAATTCTGCCCCAAAGGGGAGCAGGGGCCCCTGCACAGTGAGCTCTTCTGGACACGGTCAAGGTGTCATTCTGAAGTGGGTTTCTGGGCTGAGTCCCCCACCTTTCTCCACTTCCGGACTCACTTTCCTGTCGCTTTTCAATCTAGGACTCTGGGAGTCCTAGAAGTATGGCGGGGCTTGGTGTGGTCCCCCGAAGGCCGTGGGGTGTTGCGGTGGCCAGACTCCCTGCACCAGCTGCCCCGCCTTCCTTCCTCAACTCTCTCCCACCCACCTCTCCTCCCTCCTTCCTCGTCTGCAGCCTCCTCCTACAGGAAGCCCTCCTTGTCTGCACTGGATGACCCTGGGCAAAATCACACCCTGCTGGGCCTCCCAAGCCCATCTCCCAGGTGACCCTCATCCCTCCCACCCTGCGCTCTGAGCGTCCCTCCGAATGCAGGCTCCAGGCATCTGGCCCTGGCCCTCTCCTCCGCCTCCACCACGGAACACACGAGGCGCTGGGCCTGCCAGGACCCCACACTCACTTGGCCACCGCCACCCCAGAACACACTCGGCACTGGGCCTGCCAGGACCCCACACTCACTTGACCACCCCCACCCCAGAACACACTCAGCAGCGGGCCTGCCAGGACCCCACACTCACTTGGGTCTCGGTTTCTCCTCTGGTCCACACAGCACCAGCGTAGGGAGAGGGACACCAGCGTGGGGAGAGGGAGAGAGACAGCCTGGGTGAGACTGGGCGGCCTGCGGCCCTGGGTTCCCCTTCACTGAAGGCCGCCGTCCTTTTCAGCTGGGCGTACCCCCAACCCCCAGAAACAAGAGGGTCCTGTTTCTGCTCTAGGCCTGCAAAAGCCCCTGGCAGGGTTGGAGGGGAAGAGCTCAGGGCCTGGGGCCAGGAGGAAGGGTGAGGAAGAGGTAGGGAAGAAATAGGAGCGAGACAGGCCGCGTCCTTGAAGGCTGGGAAGGGAGGAGACGGAGCAAAGAGGACAGGGGCTCGGGAAGAAGATTGGGAGGAAAGGGGCTTGGGAGAAAGGGGAGGGGGGCGTGCCCGGCCCGGGCTCTGGCACTGCTGGCTGGTCCCGCTTACTCCCCCTCCGCTGTGTGGCAGAAGCTCGGAGCGGTGGCACCCGCGAGGCCCTGGCAGCTCGACCCCAGCGGCACCGTGCGGAGCAGCAAGGCCTGGCCCTCCGAGGCCCCCGTGCCAGGGGAAGAGAAAGAGGACAGAGGGAGGAGGAGGCAGGGCAGCGAGAGACCCCAGCCTGTCCTCTTTCCCTCGCGTCGGCTAGAGCCAGGGTCCTGCACCTCCGGCGGCAGGGACGGGCCCTTACCTTCCGCGTCCTCCTCTGCGGTGTCTTCCAGGTGGCAAAAGGCACAAGCACACATGCAAGAGAAAAGCCAGCGCGGCTGCGGGGGAGCAGTGGGCAAGGGGCCTGTGGCGGGCAAGGGGCCCACCCCTCTCACTCGGACACTCTCTTCTCCAGGGTGTGCCTGCGGGGCCCTACAAGTGCCCCAAGCTGGGGCCGGTGAATCAATGCCTGGGGAGGGGGTGGAAGGGGCTGGGTGCCCAGTGGAGCTCCTGCCTGGAAGACCTAGTGGAGAATAGGAGGGACACGGGGACCTCGCGGGGCAAGGTGGGGCTAAGGGCACTGGGTCTCATCTGTCCCCCCGGTCTGTCCTCTTGGGTCTGGCAGGGCCAACCTTGGCATCTGAGACCCTCTCCACCAAGAGGGCGTTGCAGCCGGGGTGGGTGCAGCCCCTTTGCTTCGTGCTTCCCGGAGCCTGACCCCTGCCTGTAAAGGCTGTGTTACTGGGTGGAACCCAGCAGTTCATGGAATGACTACAGCCCTCAGGCCTCAGGAGCCTCTGCCGGCAACGTGATGTCTAACTCCTTGCTGGTCTCAGCCCCAGGAGCCCCCGCCTGAGTCCGGAATGTCCACCACAGCCCCCACCCACAGGCCAGGAGCCCAGGCGCACTCATCCCTGACCTCCCTGGGGCTTGCCCTCTGACTGCCACATGGCTGCTGTCCTGAGACTGGGCCCCTCTGGGACCCCCCTGCTACCTCTCCCTGGCCACCTCTGGGGTCTGCCTGGCCTGCCCTGGCCACCCTAATAAGGGGTGGCTTCCTTTAGGATACACTCTGCTCCTAGACCCTGGGGTGGACCTGGCTGGCCTGGCCCAGCTGGGGCCCAGGAGGGGGGTCTGCCGCTGGCCTAGTGGCACCCGCCCATTCTGTCCCTTCAGTCCCTGCTCTGGGCCTTAGGTGGCAGCAAGGCCGTTGACACACGATGCCCTCGGCCCTCCAAGTCTGACCCAGCGCTGTCCCCTGCACTTGGCTAAGGCCAGCAGGCCTGGGCCCGGGGGTGGGGGTCCTGCCTTGCCAGTGCCTGGCCTGGGGTGCACTGGTCCTTGAGTCCTCCTCGCTGGCAGATACCTCGGTTGCCTGGGAGCCCCCTGCACACCACAGAGAGCCCGCCAGCGCTCTTGGTTTTGCAGGTGGGCCTGAGGTCACCCGTTCCGGATGCCTTGGGGCACATGTGCACCGGGAGTGAGCGGTGGGGCATCCTGAGCGTTCCAGCCAAGGGCCCGGAAGGAACAGCGCGGTGAGGACGATGAATGGGCTGCCCGCCCTGGCCTCCCTGACTTAGTGGTTTTGCTGGACGCAGTGCGTGGCTGAGGAGCCCCTCCGGGTGGGAAGGCCGGCCAGGGAGGAGGGCGAGGTCGGGTGGGAGGCTGAGCAATTTCGGGGAGCGAGCACACAGCCAAGCGGCAAAAGCTGTCCTGCGGCCCTGCCTCCTCTGCTCCTGCCCCACCCTGCCCTGCTGTCCGTCTGTCCGCTGGCCTCAGTGCTGGTTCCAGAGCGGCCCAGCAACCCTGTCATCCCCACAGGCTATCTCCTGGACACCTCCCTGCATGGCTGGAGTCCCATCCCCCTCCCAGCATGTCCCTTCTTGTCCAGGGGCCTCTCCGAGGCTCGAGTCACGCAAGAGCTCAGGCCCGGCAGGGAGGAGCCCCTCAGCCCCACGGCCCATGAACGGGGGGAGCTGAGAAGCACTCCCCAGCTGGGGCCCCTGACTTGAATGTGCAGCTCTCTGACCTCCACCCAGTACAGCCGGCCCCACTACCAGGGAGGGCAGGCCCACCCAGGGGGCCTCCTCACTCCGGGTGTGTCTGGCTCAGGCCCAGGCAATGGGTGGGATGCTGGGACCTGACTGGGCCTTTGCACGCATGGCCCCTGGCTGTTCCGGGTCCCCAGCGTCCCCACCTTGGGCCTCAGCCTGCTTTTCTGCTTCACTCCACTTGCCCCTCCACCCTCCCTTCCACCTCACCCCTCCCTACCTTCCCGCTTCTGGCTTGCTAACTGGGGCAGGGTGGAGGCCTCTCCTGCGCTCTTCCCACCCCACCCTGGTGGATCCAGAGGGTCCCAGTGGACCCCAGCACCGTCCTCCCAAGGCCTGCTCTGCCTCGGCCTCAAGGCTGGCCACCCCCACCTCCCACCTTCCTGTTGGCAGCCCAGGAAGGGCCTCATTGTCCCCAGGCTATGGAATCAATCCTCTCTGCCTGGGAGACACAGAGGAAGCCTGCACTGTACCGGCCAGCCCTTCCCAAGCCAGGGTCCTCACTCTGTCCCCAGCCCAGAGGCCAGAACGGGTTCAGTTGTTGGTGGCAAACGTCACAAGGGGTGGGCAAGAGGGAGGAAGCAAGAGAGGACAGAAGGGAGGACGGAGACTCTGGCCTGGAGGCGGGGGAGCGCCGGCGTACCTTCTTGAACTTCCTCTGCAGAAGCAGCGTCATGGTGGCAGAAAGGGCGGGAGAGAGAGAGGACCAGTGTGAGTGGTGGCAGCGCAGAGAGGAGGGCGGGCAGGGCCGAGGCGGCGGAGCGAGCAGGCCAGGCTGTGCAGGGTTACACGGCCCCTCTTGTTCCTTCTTGGGTCCTGCACCCCCCACATGGCCACACGTGCCCATGTGGCATCGAAGTCATGCACGTACCTGGTTCATGAACTTCACGGGCCAAGGAGGCCACGGAACAAGAGGCAAAACCGCGGGTCAGAGGTCAATGGAGAAGCGTCCGAGGTTAATGGAAAAGCCCGTCGCCACTCGAGGCCGAGGGTGGGGTGCGTGCGGGTAGCGAGCAAGACACGGTCAGAGTTAGCCCAGGCGCGGCCACCGCCCCAGTCCCATGTCCCCAAACCCTGCTCTCAGCATCTGGGAGCACCCCAGGTGGGGAAACTGAGGCTCAGAGGATGGCCGGGAGCTGTGGCTCTTGTCCTTGGTGCAGCAGGCTCAGTACTGGGGCTGGGCCTTCCTTTGCTCGCCCCCATCCCCTGTCTGTCCTGGGGCGCCCCCAGAAGGGTGTCCGCGCCTCTGGCCGGGGCACCAAGGCCCACGTGCGAGGTTGTAGCCTGGCCGGGTGGCACCAAGGGCCCACAAAGGCAGTGCTGGTAGCCCTGGGAGGCAGAGCCATGGATGGGCCATGGAAGGCGTCCCCAGGACCCCCACTTCCTGCCATCCCAACGCTGGGGGCCCACTCGTTCTTTCCCTGATGGAATTCTTTCCACCCTCCAAGGGTGCTGGCAGCCCTGGGCACCAGTGATGGCTCTGCCTGCTGATCTGGGCATGGGACCCCAGCCCTCCCATCTGCTCCCAGCCTGTGTGCACCTCAAGGGTCTCATAGCAGAAGGCTGTGAGGGGGCCTGGGGGGCTGACGAGGGCATGCTCACGAGGGAGCTGACTGTGCCAGGCTGCAGGGTTCTGCCCCCAGCCGCCTTCTCTCCCCTCACTCTGTGCCATCCCAAGATGTGGCGGGCGTCCTGGCCAGGCCCAGGGGTCGACGCCACCACGGGCTCTGGACTGCCTACCCTGGGGTGGAGGACTAGGGTGGGCCTACGTGTCCCCTCTGCCCCATGCTTGGGGACACCCTGCTGACCAGCAGCCCAGCCTGCACCTGCCTGGGGAGTCCCTGGCCCTACTGCCTGGGGGGCTGTGGGGAAGGGGGCCCACCCTCGAGACCCCATTCTCTCTCTGGTCAAGCATTGGCCGCGGTTAGTGGGTTACATTAGGGCCACATGTGGGGGCCCCTTGGCTGGCTGGTACCTCGTGGCTTCCCCACCCTCTCCCCCTCTCCCCCACCCCCACATGGGCTCCAGCCAGGCCCCGGGCCCCACATGGGGACAAGAAGTCCTGTGTCCTCATACCTTCCTCATGGACTTCTGCAGCTGAGGAGAGCCGGGGGAGAGAGGAGAGGGTTAGACAGGGGCACACAGCAATCCTTAGAGGCGGGGTGGAGGTCAACTTTGGGTGGGGCGGGAAGGCTGGGGAGTGGGCATGGGGGCCGGGGCCTTGGACCCCACTTACCTTCCTCCTGGGCTTCCTCTGAGAGCCGGAGAAGCCAGGAGCAGGAGAAGGCGGGGTTGAGGGAGACAGGGAACAGAGACAGTGATCAGAGTGTACTCAGGCCGCAAGGACAGGAGGCCGGCTGGCCGGGAGAAGAGGGCCTGGGGCTCGCTTGGCAGGGGTGAAAGATGGGGCTCAGTCCTGCATCTCTGGCCAGCCCCGGGGAGCACGGACTCCCACCAGCAGAGCTGGTCACTGTCAGCTGGGCTGGGCCCGGCCCCTGAGAGGGGTTCTGAGGCCCCTCCCACCCTCCTGGGGGCCTGGTATTCCCATGCCTGGAGGCGCCTGTGCACGGGGGCCCTTGTTAAGTCCTGCTCTGCAGGTGACACAAGTGAGAACGGGGACAGAACCCACAGGGCCTGCGGGAAGCCCCGGCTCTGAGTGCACCCGGAAACAAGGCTGGCACTGAGGGGTCTTCAGAGATATGTCGCACGAAGACCCTTCCGTGGCCTCCCGGCCTGCCACGTGGCTGCCCCAAGAGAAAAGATGGCTCCCCAGTGCCATATTTCCCTCGCAGAAATGAGTCTTTCCACCTTTTCGGCAGAAAAATAAATGTTTTGCTCACGTTGTTAGGGTAGCCAAGTGTTTTCAAAATATTTTCAAAACATAGCACTCAGGACTCCTCACAGGACAGCCCTGCCTGCTAAGGTTGCGTGAACGCGCTCCCCAGTTGAGTGGGTGCCAGGGATTCCAGGGCAGCGCCGTCGGCCTGAGAACCGCCACCCCACACGGTTCCCAGGTGCGCCCACACCCGCCCACGCCTGCCCGGGCACGATGGAGACGCCCACAGACCACACCTGGCCAGCACAGGGAGGGGGCTCCAGGCTCCACCCAGGGTTACAGCACAGGGTGGGGGGGTGGCATGGAGGGATGGAGACACAGAGAGACAGAGATGGAGATGGAGGTGGAGAAATGGGGACAGAGAGGCCAAGAAAGACAGAGACTGAGAGAGAGAGGCAGGGAGAGACAGAGACCAAGAGGCTGAAAGATACAGAGACAGAGAGAAGCTGAGAGATACACAGGCACACAGAGAGACAAAGTTGCCAAGAGAGACACGGAAAGGAACTGGAGAGAGATGGAGAGACTCTGAGATGCCGGGAGGGTAGAGATAGAGAGAGAGGCAGAGAGACAGCAGCACTGGGCACGCAGGGCACTCGGTGTTTTGAGGCCTTCATGACCAGCCCCAGTGAACTCCACACACCATGGCACACGGAGGATGAAGGATTAATGAAGGATCGTGAATGCATATTAATCGATTAAAGAGACAGGGGTTAGTGATGATTTAATGACTCATCCATCATTAATTAAGTGGTGGCCTCATTTATCATTAATTAATGATGAATGGTGATTGTTAGTGACTAATGATGAGGAAGATGGAAGGTTGATTGACAAGCTCAAGGCGGCCTGGAGCAGCCTGGGGAGGGGGTTCTGTGAGCGCCACACGGGAGAGGGGGGTTAAGTTCCAAGGAGGGGCTGGGGGGGCTTCCGGTGGTTGCCAGAATTACCTTCTTCTTCGTACTGCTCTGCATTGGGACAGAACAAAGAGGGGAACCACGTTAGAAGGGGCAGCCCGTGAAGGGAGGAGGAGGATGAGAGGCCAGTGTGTCCCGGCCCTGGACAGGCCAGCGACTGCCCCTGCCCAAGAGCGTGGAATCAGGGGTCCTCGGGCCCAGAGGAGGCGCTGGGGAAGGCAGAGGCTCTGGTGATGATGGTGGCTTTTGGGGGGCTCGGGGGTCCTGGATGCCCACGTCCCACAGTGGGCATGAGAGAAGCAGAGAGACAGGACCCAGAGCCTGACCTGCAGGCCCCTCAGGACCATGTGGCCACACTTCGGGGAAAAGACGAGGCCCCCCACTTGGACAGCTGTTTTCCGGGGGTCACTCAGAAGCCACCCATGGGATGCAGCTGATGTAGGGCTGTCAAGGGGACACAGGGTATGCACAGTCCAGCCCCCTGCCCACATGTGAGCCTTCCTTCTAGAGCAGGAAGTAGAAAGAAAATGGCTGTTACACTTACCCTCCACCTGTTCACTGTGGGGCAGGGAGAGAGAGAGAAAGAAAGAGAGAGAGGTAGTGAGGCTGGGCTTTGCTTGGACTTGTGCAAGACAGCGCATGCTCCAGCCCCACAGAAGCCAAGGGGCCAGGGTCCCGAGCCAGGCAGGGGGCAGCCACCAGCTGGGTACTCACACTTCCTCGTCAGACATGGTGAAGGTGGGTGGTTTCTGCAGAGAGAGATTCAGAGAGAGAGAGAGAGAGAGGATGGAAAGAGAGTTACGAGCTGCCTGGGTGTAGGATGGGGGATGGGGTCTTGGAGCAGCGCTGTGGGGGACCGCGGGCAGGGTTTGGGGGCCAGCTCTGGCCTTGGGTGAGTCCACCTCCTTGGGCCTCCCCTTTCTCCAGGGCTCCTGGCCCCTCCCAGCTCTTGGCGCCCCAGACTCTGTCCCCTCTTCCTGCCCTGGCTCCAGACTGGAGCTTGGAATCTTGGAGCTGGAAGGGATGTTGGAAGGTCGTGGCGTCCACCCCCACCCAGGGCAGACATCCTCTCCGTGGCGTCCCCTGAGGAGGGTCATCCAGAATGCAGGCCGTGTGCCGTCCAGCCCACTCTAGACACTGGAAAGGTCCCGCTGATGGAGCTGAAACCTGTCTCTGGGTGTTCTCTGCCCAGTGGGTGTAGGTGGGGTCTCCCTGGGAGCCCCTGGATGATCGAGACTGGCTCCCCAAGATGAGTAATCTGCTCACCCTACCATTCCCCATGAGAACCCCTCTTCCCTATTTGAGCCCAAAGCTCCCTTCTGTGCCTGTTTTCCTATGGGGTGCCCAGAGTGTGTCCCACCACACCCCTCTGAGGACCCCTCCTCCAAGATCACAGAGCAGGGAAGCTGTTCCTTCTTGTTACCCCTGTACCCTGAAAACATTGAGGCTGAGCCCCAGAGCACGTTGGGTTGGGTCTGGGCCGCTTCCCGTGCACCCCCCCGGGCCGGGCTCTGTACAAGGCATACTTGGACTGCAGGAGCCCACAGAACAGCCCCCCCATTTCCCTCCCTGTGGCCGCTTTCCCTGGTCCCGGGGATGCTCTGGATCTGTCCCTGTCTAGAGGAAGCTCCATGCCCAGGACTGGCTGCCCTGTCCATGTGCGGTGGTGGCGCCAGGCCAGCATGCTGGGGACCGTCTCTCTGTGAGCTGGCCACTGTGCACACTGGGCGGCCAGGCCTGGGGAGGCTCTGAGCAGCTGCACCGGCATGTTGGCCAGGGTTTTAGAAAACAAAGTTCATTACAACACAGTACAGATTACTCGAAGACAATAGCTACGGTCCCCCCTGGGAGTGTTGTATAAGGAAAACACACGTTCATCAGCTAAAAATGCATCTACGTTGCACTGCTGAGGTGGGAACCGTTTTCCAAACCCTCTGTCAAGAATGTTAATTTTCCCAGAGCAACTTAAGCTCCATGCAAAATTACCCAGCAGATAGCTGTCTTCCAGGCAACGGGGGTAGCTTTTTCCTATCCCAGAATCTCTTCCTGAGACTCTGCTGCCCCTCAGGTTAAGCCTCTTGTAACTGCCACGGCTGGGCCAGGCTCTCCTCAGTCCTCAGCCCCACGAGCCAGTGTTGTCCAGGCCCCCGGTGTGACCCAGTCCCAGGCTGCCCACCAGCCCCTCGTGCTGTCCTCCCAGCTGGTTCAGGCCCCAAACGCCACAGACTCCTCTAGGGCCATCCTCTGTAAGGAGGAGGAGCGTCAGTGAAGGGAGGGAGCGGAGCCTGGCCCCGCCCTGCTGTGCCCAGCCCGACGCTGGCGGGGCAGACACCTGTCGGCTGCCACAAGATGGGGGCAGCGTGGCCCTCGCCTGGGGTGGGTTATTTATAAGGAGCCAGTGGCAGCTGAGGTGTCCAGAAATAGGCAAGACGTTTCTGCCCAGAAACCCAAGACGTGGGTGAGGCGGGTGTGACAGCCCAGCCCTCCTTGGCCCACAGCTGCCCCCTCACCCTCGGGCACCCAGGCCCTCCCCAGCTCCTCATATTTCCCTCCTGTCCCCCCAGGCCAGAGTCACATGGGTGCCCCAACACCCTCAGGCAGGGTGACCTCCAGGCCCCCCGACGTGCGCTGGAAAGGCCCACTCTCCAAGTGGGGAAACTGAGGCGCCTGGTTTTCTGCTGAGCGCCTGGAAGCAACACAAGGCTGTTCTGTTCCCCCCAGTATGGCCTGTGTCATTGCCTCTGTTGCGGGGAGGGGCTGGTGGCAGGGGTGTGCTGGGGGCAGGGGTGTGCTGGGGGCAGGGGATGGCATTTCAACAGCTGAGACGCAAAGCAGGTGTCCAGTTAGTGCCTGCCTTGGAGGGGCTGCGTGAAAATAACCTATGCGGTCGGTTTCTTCGGGCACGTATGCATCACCTTTCCCTCCTTGGGAGGTGACGGGGCCAGGGCAGGGTGGGGAGGCAAAAGCCGCTGCCCCTCGCTTGCTGTGGCCCTGACCATGCCCCCAGACCTGTTCTCCACCCAGCCAACCTTTGCTTTGCCCCATGTCCCTCCGTGGACTTCAGGAGGGGCAGCCAAGGCCTGATCAGACGGCACAAGTCAGGGGGACCGTGTCCAGGGCAGGGAGGGTGGGTGGGGGCTCTTACGAGCGCCAGCTTCTCCAGCCTCCAGCCAGGGGGACGCGATGAAGCCCAGCCCCTCACTCTTGCCCCGTCCTGCCCCAGTCCAGCCCCTGTCCACTTCTGTCCTGCACCTCCAGACGCTGGCCCCCAAGGCTGCGTGGGCTTTAGACGCCCCCACCCCAACACACTCGGGCTGGCCATACAGGAGCCCCTGCCCTCCTGTCCTCGTTTTCATCTCTACAAAATGGCGGTGTTGGAGGCCCAGGTGCGAGAGCTGCATGGCAAGGCCAGGACGGGCCTGGGCAAATGTCTGCATGGCGACCACAAGCTGGCAACCTAAGCCCTGGCAGCACCCCTGCACAGCCTCTTCCCTGCCGCTCACAGCCCGCACCTCTCTGCCTCCTGCCCTCAGGCCACTCCCTAGCACTGAGCTTCCCTGAGCCCCGACTTGCCCCCTCCTGGCCTCCCACACTCTGCCTTCTTCTGCATCCTCCCGGTGCTGAGACCATCACACCACCATGTCCGCATCCCAGACTCTCCGGACGCTGGAGCAGCCACCTGGGGGCTCCGAGCCATGATGCTTCGAGATGCTCGGCACCACACGGACCTGGGACCTCAGCGCCCCAGGACCCCAGAGTGTCCCTGGAACGAGGGGCTGTCCACCCGCACGCAGGAGGCCCCGTCGGCCCCAGTCCTGGGTGGCCGCTCCTGCCTATACCCACCTGCGGGTCGAGTGTGAGAAGGGCTGGAGCTCCCTGTGGACAGCACCGGCTGCAGGCACTGGCGCCCGGCTCACACCCTCGTGTTATAGTGACATTTGATCTTCCTAGGAGCCCATTGGCCAGTGACTGGGTGGCCGGGGTGTGTGCGGAGTCTTGCTGGGGGGGGCTATGCCCGTGCAGGCCCCTTACCAAGTATAGGAATGGCCAGAGGAGGAGGCTGAAGGAGGCCAGGATGCAGAGGACGTGCTTGGAGAAGGAGGCAAGGTCCTCCCTCCGCCTCCAGGAGGTGTCAGCTGCTATTTTTACTCCCAGCAGCGGGTACATTCTGGATGGGCTGAGGAGGGAGGAGGAAGGTGTTGGGTGGCCCCGGGGCACCAAGCCGAGGCTCTCTTTGGGCCAAACTAGTGTGGGGGTCCCCAGAGCCAGGCTGCCGGGTTTCCCACCCCCCCGCCCCTTCTCTCTGAGATGTTCTGTGGGAGTAAACATTTGTCCAGGAAAAGGGTCCGCACAGCCGGGGTCCCCTCCCGCCGCCCGGCCCAATGCCCCAGGCCCTTCGCTGTCTCCCCCGGGGAGGAAGCAGCCTGAGGCCTCGGAGACCCCCCATGGAACTGAGGCCAGGCCCCCACCCTATCTGAGACCCTCTTAGAGGCCAGCTCTGCTTTCCTGGCTAGACACCGTTGGGGCCTACACAATAAGCGGGCGAGGGACATGGCCAGGCTGGCTGCAGTCCGAGTCTGCCATACCTCCCCCCGGGGCTGCTGCCATTGCAGGGGGCTACACATGGAGTTTGCTGGGTAAGGGTCTGGGTCCTCCCTCTAGGCCCTTTCTAACCCTGGGGCCCCACCCTGGGCACTCGCAGTGGCCGTTACCATCTGTGCCAGCATCTCCCACAGGCTCATTGTGGCGTGTGGAGACTGGTTTTCTTTCCTCAGGACTCCAGGTGGCACCGTCCGACTAGCAGACATCCTTCCTGGCCTCTGATGGCCTGTATGCTGGCCAGTGAGGCCACCAGATTGGATAACCCTGCCTCTTGGATCAGGGAAACTGAGGCACCAGGTGGGGGAGAGCAGTCTGGCACCCTGACCCACCCCCTCACTCCCCTCAGACCCCACAGGCTGAGCGTGGGCGGTGGTGTCTGCGGAACTCTTCGGTTCAGGCACAGATTGGTTCCTTCTTGGCCAGCGCCCAGGACAGGGGTGAGTCCCGAGAGGCACAGATGAGGTCCCTGTCCTCCCCAGGCTTAGAGTCAGGGACAACAGGATAACCCGGCAGGGGCTCACAGTGCCCTGGGGCCGGGTCGGGGGCCTTCCGGAAGGCTGTGGTTGGCACCTCATTCCACCCCTCCATGGAAGAGCGAGGCCGCAGAGCCCAGGGACAGGCAAGGTGTGCCTGGGGTCACACGACAAGGCGGGCTGGCCCCAGGCTGCCATTTCAAAGGACAGGGCCGGTCCCCTGCCTGCCTCCCGCTGAGTGCCCGGCACTGGGAAGGCTCTTGGAGCTGGGGTTGCTGGGAACGTCGCCGTCCTCCTGCTCTGGGTCTGTGGCTTCGTCTGCATTCCACGCCTTCCCCTCCCTGTCCATGTCCTCGATGGGCAAGGCTTTGGGGGCCACAAACAGCCCTGGCCCCTGGATATCTGTGACCAGCTTCCTGCCCACTGGGGACATCTGCAGAACTGCTCCCTCAGAGGCACGTGAGCGGGTCCCTGGGGGTCAGCGGGCCCACCCCATCCTCTCCCATGGTGGGGCCAACCTCCTTTTCCAGGCTCGCTCTGCCGGCTTCTCTAACGGAGCCCTGAGCCCACCATTCTGGTTACACGTGGTTCAGTCTGCAGGCCTAGGAAGCCTGTGCCCACCCAAGCCCTCACCCAGGCCAGGGGTCCTGAGGGGCGCACCTGAAGGTGGGTGTGCCATAACCCTGCACTGGCCCCGTGTGGCCAGCAGGGGAAGGTGCTGCCCGCCCAGCTCCTGGAGCTTTGGCAGGCGCTCTCCGCCCAGCCAGCTGAGGTCAGAGGGATAGGGCAGGTTTTATTTTGGGTATCGGCGACCTCCCCCTCGGGCGCTGGGCCTGAGGCGTAGCAGGGACTGCACAGAGCAGGCACCAGCGGCCTCGAGGGCCTGCACCAGGTAACCCATGCCCTGCTGCCATCTGGCCGGACCGGGATGGTCCAAGGAGAGGAGGCAGGGCAGGGGCCTCCTGGGGGACTGTAGACCTGGGTGGGGGCAGGGCACAAGGGAGGCCCAGCCTGGGTTGGGGACGCATTTCCACCCAGGAGGAGTCTGAGGACGGACCACGGGGCCTTGGCTCTAGGGCAGTTGTTGGGGGATGGGGGGGTTCTGAAATTGGCAAATGCTGAGCCAAGCCCAGGGAGTGGGGAGCAGGCTGTGGGAGGGAGGATGGCCTCCTGAGTGTCTTGGCTGCAGCTCCCTGCCTGGGTGGCCCCCAGATGGTGGCCGGGGCCCCTCAATCTAGGTCCCAGCACCCAGTGCGCATGGTTGGGGGTGGTGGAGACCAAGAGGGTCCTGAGCCTCTCCTCATGCCCTGAGCTGACCTGAGCCCCCAGGCTGGATCCAGCCTGAGGCCGCTCGGCCCAGCTGTGGGCTCAATCACTGCCAGGCCCAGGACAGGAGCAGCTGACACAGCACTTGGGAACTGAGCTGCTCCAGCCCTAGGTAGCTGCCTCCCCACATGCCTAGTGCTTCTGATTTTGCAGTTTCATTGACTCGTTCTGCAGATATGATGGGTGTCTTCTCTGTGGCTGGCCTAGGGGCTTGTAGCAAGGGTCACAGGGTGTCTGGTGGCTGCTCTGGCAGGCAGGACAGAGGCTAGGGGCTTCATCTGCCATCCCTGGCCAGGGGCCTCTTAGGCTGCAGGCCTTTTGAGCCTCCTGACCTCCGCATTGGGCATGGCCTGACCTCCAGGTTTCCAGGAGCAGGGGCATGGGGTTGCTGTGGCCGTGGACGGGAGGCTGCATCAGAAACACAGCAGGGCTGTGGCTGGGTAGAGCTCAGAGGGACAGGCCCTGGGTCCTTGTTCTCGAGGCTGAGCCGAGGGGTGCAGATGATCTGACAAGGGGCCAGGGCTGGTCGGGGGCGGGGTGGGCAGTGGCTGCCTCCTCAGCACTGCTGACCCCAACTACCCCCTGCCCCTGGTGCTGTCCACTCTGCACCCCAGTGCTGAGTGCCCAACTGTGGCCTTTGGGCCTGCCTCTCGGCTGCCCTTGGTCACCGTCCCAAGCGGATCAGGTGGGAAACAAGGGAGTGCTGTCACTGGGTGGTTCCCCAGCTGGGGAGGGTGGCCTGGATCCTCTCTCAGTGGCTGGGGCATCTGAGAAAGGATGGGGGCACGTCACCTCCCTTGTGTGGGTGGTGGCTCTGTCGAGGTTTTGCTTTTCTGAACTGTGTGTATTCATGAGGCAAGCAGGGTTTGACATGAAGCCTTCAGAAAATAGTGGCTGTGAGGACCCAAGGGAATGGCAAAGTGAAGTCCAGAACATCAGAGTCTGGGGTGCTGCTCCTCGAAGGGACTTCCCAGACGCTGAAGGCTGCAGGGCTGAGTGTCAGGGCCCAGTGCAAGACCTGGGAGAGGAGGGACAGGAGGGAGGGTGTCCCCAGGCTGTCTGCTATTTCACACAGTTGTCCATTCATCCACCCATCTATTCATTCCCATGCATTCACTCTCACCTTCACCACTTCCTTTCCTTCCTTCCTCCCTCCTTCTCTTCCATCATCCATCCCTCCGTCTGTCCATCCTTTCAACCACCCATACAATCACCTACCCATCCACTCATCCCTCCATTTCATCTATCCCTCCCGCCATCCATCCATCCATCCATCATTAGTCTATCCATCCATTCATCCACCCACCTATCCATCTATCTACCCATCCATCTACCTGTCTATCCATCCATCCATCCATCTCTTCATCTATCCATCTACCCATTCATGCATCCATCCATCCCTCCCTCCCTCCCTTCATCCACCCTCCCTTCATCCATCCATCCCTCCCTCCATCCATCCATCCACACATCCACTCATCCATCCATCCACCCACCCACCTACCCATCCACTCATTCATCCCTTCCTCCATCCATCCTTCCCGCTCTCTGTCCATCCATTCATCTATCCCTTCACCCATCCATCCACCCACCCATCTACCCATCCACTCATCCATCTCTCCATTCATCCATCCACCTATCCATTCACTCACTCACCTATCTATCTATCCGTCCTTTCATCCATCCTTTCATCTACCCATCCACACATCCATCCCTCCATTCATCCATCCACCTATCCATCCATCCACCTGTCCATCCACTCTCATCCATCCCTTCATCCATCCATCCATCTACCCATCCATGCATCCATCCCTTCATTCATCAATCCCTCCATTATCTATCTATCCATCCATCCAACCACCTACCCATCCCTTCATTTATCGCTCCTTCCATCCATCCATCCACCCACCCACCTACCCATTCACTCACTCATCCCTCCCTCCATCCCCCCTCTCTCCCTCTGTCCATTCATCCAGCCATCCCTTCATCCATCCATCCACTCATCTACCTATCCACTCATGCATCCCTCCTTTCATCCATCCACCTATCCATTCACTAACCCATCCATCCATCCATCCAGCCAGCCAGCCAGCCAGCCAGCCATCCTCCCACCCACCCATCCATTCACCCACCTATTCACCCACTCATCCATCCATTAGTCCATCCATCCACCCACCTGCTTACCCATTCACTCATCCATACATCCCTCTATCCATTCATCCATCCCCTATTCATCCACTCACCCATCCCTCCACTCACCCACCCAACCATTCATCCACTCACCCACCTACCCATCCATTCACCTGCTTATCCGTCCACTCATCCATCCATCTATCAATCCATCCATCCACCCACCCACCCACTTACTCATTCACTCATCCATATGTCCGTCTATCCATTCATCCATCCCCTATTCATCCACTCACCCATCCCTCCACTCACCCACCCAACCATTCATCCACTCACCCACCTACCCATCCATTCACCTGCTTATCCGTCCACTCATCCATCCATCAATCCATCCATCCACCCACCCACCCACTTACTCATTCACTCATCCACATATCCCTCTATCCATTCATCCATCCCCTATTCATCCACTCACCCATCCCTCCACTCGCTCATCCAGCCATTCATCCACTCACCCACCTACCCATCCATTCACCCACCTATCTGTCCACTCATCCATCCATTCATCTGATCATCTATCCATTCGTCCACCCACCTACCCATCCATCCATCCACCCACTTGCCCACCCAGCCATTCATCCACTCGCCCACCTACCCATCCATTCACCCACCTATCCATCCACTCATCCATCCATTAATCTATTCATCTATCCATTCGTCCACCCACCTACCCATCCATCCATCCACCCACCCATCCACCCATTTGTCTGTTTTCCAAACCTTCACTGAGCACCTCCTGTGTGGTGTTGGGGGAGGCCCCGAGGTGGATCTTGCCCTCAGTGGGTGCGAAGTCAAGGCACAGAAGTTTATATTGGGCTAGTCCTGGTTGGGGTAGGGATATCACAGACATTCTGGAAAAGGAAGCCCGGACCCCACCCATTGTGTGTGCTCTGACTTAGGCCACCAGAGAGCTTATGTCCTGGCGTCTTATACTGCAAAGGCCATGAGACAGGTCAGACTGCCTGAACCCAGAGGCCACAGCATGCTGTGCAGTGTGGGAATGGGCTGGCCACTGGCCCAACATTTCCATCCTGGCCAGCCCTGCCCCCTTAGTGAGTACAAGACAGCCAGCACATGAGAATACACAGGGAGCTTTATTATACAAAATGGCGGGGTGGGGGGCGGCAAGCAGCGGGGGACGCAGCATCAAGCATCCTGCATGGCCGTTATCAGCCCTTGACCTGCAGTTTCTCCTTGGATCTGGGGGGGTGACCCACCCTCTCTGCACAGGCTGTGCCTCAACCTCCTAACTTCCTAGAAGGCACTTGGCCTCTCCAGGGGTAAGTCCCTTTGGCCAATGATCAGGAGTTTCTTTCCTCCCCCAAGTAACAAGAAGCGGAGCTGGGTGGGGAGGGCGGGGGCGGTGGTCAGAGAGTGGAAGGGCAGAGAGGCTAAAGGGTCCAGGAGCAAAAGGAGGTGGCAGCGGATGGCATCAAAGAGGCGAGGGTAGGTCATGCTGGCAACAGGAAGCAACTTCTTAGCCAGGGCCGGGGGGCGGGTGTCTGGCTGGAATCTCCCCTGGGTACATGGAGGGTGCCAGCCGGCTGGACCTGCAGACCCAGGAAGCTGGAACATAGGCATGGGGTGCAGGGGGCATTAGGCTAGGGTCCAGGGAGGGGCCACAGACCTGCCTCCTGCAAGCCCACAGAGCCTGCTCCCCGAGCCTCTCTCTGCTGGCCTCCCTGCCCTGCCCACACCCCCACTCCACCACAGGAGAAGACGTCCTGCCTCAGAGGCCTGCTTCCCAGTGCGAGCACTTGTGCCCTGGGTCAGGACCTCTGGCTGGAGACCTGACTCCTGGTGGAGGGAAGGCGGCCTGCCTGCCAAGCAGCCTGCCCACCCTGGGAGCTAGAACTGGGGTTCTCGTGGTTCCTGCAGTCCCGTCATCCAGAGGAGGCCGGTAGCTGAGAGCAGTCCTAAGCAGGCTCCTTCCGCCCCCACCCCTCCAGCAGCTCTGTTCTTGCCTTGGCAGAGCCAGCCCCCACCAGCGGCAGCCCCCAGGACTCCCTCCTTCCCCAAACCAGAGAGCCTCTGGCTCGGACAGATGCCATTTGTCAATGTCCTTGCAAACACGTGGTGCCCAGAAACCAGGGTGGGCGGCTTGGCCGGGCCACCCCAGACAGGAGGTCTGCGGGAATATCCCATTTAGCATAGCTCAGCGAAAACTGCTCCCACCTTCCGGCCAATCTACCTCTGATGATGCAGCCTCGGCTTTCCCAAGCCTCTTGGCCGCCACCCCTCACCGCTGGCTCGCAGCGGACGCGCCTGTGGTTGAGCCGGCGACAACAGGGCGCCCCTCACGTGTCTGGGGGCAGCCGCTCTTCCAGCCCTGGGCTTGGCCAGCAGCTGGCCAGGGGCATGCCTGTCACTTGGGGCTCACCCGCGTCTCCGTCTCCCACCCCAGCCCACACGGTGTTGCGGCCTGACCCAGGCTGTGTACTTGGGGCCTGCTTTGTGCTGGGGTGGCATGGAGGACAGAGCCCTGGAGGCAGGTTCTAGCCCCATCCCTGGAGGGACTCGGCCTCTGTGGCCTCATTTCTACACTAGGGTGATGGTGGGGCCACCCCAAAGTCCCCAAGGCACAGTCGAGCTCAGCATGTCCCTGGCAGGTTCTGGGTGCTCAGGAAGCAGAATACTCAGGCCTCCACACCCCTGGCCCCAGGTCCTCCTTGGACCACAGGAGACACAGGCCTCCCACCTCAGGAGGGAGGAGGGCTGGCCTGACCACTGTCCCTCCCACCCTAGGACACAGTCATGCTCATATCGGCTGCGTCGATGGCACCCGAGGTGTGCGGCCCAAGCCTCCAGGGAACCCCTGGACCCCCACCGCCCCTGCTGCCCAAGCCAGGGAAGGACAACTTGCGTTTGCAGAAGCTCCTGAGGAAGGCAGCCCGGAAGAAGATGATGGGAGGCACACACCTCGCTCCACCCAGGGCCTTCCGCACCTCCCTGTCCCCCGTGAGTGAGGCCAGCCATGACCAGGAGGTCACAGCCCCGCACGCTGCTGAGGGCCCGCACCCCGCCGAAGCCCCACGCCTTCCTGAAGCCCCACGCCCCGCCGAGGCTCCCCGCATGGTGGCTGCCCTACCCCGCTCCCCGCACACCCCCATCATCCACCACGTGGCATCACCCCTGCAGAAGTCCACGTTCTCCATCGGCCTCACCCAGCGCAGGATTCTAGCTGCTCAATTCAGGGCCATGGGGCCCCAGGTTGTAGCCTCGGCCCCAGAACCTACCCGGCCCCCCAGTGGCTTCGTCCCTGTCTCTGGGGGTGGGGGCACCCACGTCACCCAGGTGCACATCCAGCTGGCACCATCCCCACACAATGGGACCCCTGAGCCTCCCAGGACAGCCCCAGAAGTGGGATCCAACAGCCAGGATGGAGATGCCACCCCAAGTCCCCCCAGGGCCCAGCCCCTGGTCCCAGTGGCTCACATCCGCCCACTGCCCACCACAGTCCAGGCTGCCAGTCCCTTGCCTGAGGAGCCCCCTGTACCACGGCCGCCACCCGGCTTCCAGGCCTCAGTGCCCAGAGAGGCTAGTGCCAGGGTTGTGGTGCCCATAGCCCCGACCTGCCGCTCGCTGGAGTCCTCACCGCACAGCCTGGTCCCCATGGGCCCTGGCAGAGAGCACCTGGAGGAGCCCCCGATGGCTGGCCCCGCCGCTGAGGCCGAGCGAGTGTCCAGCCCTGCCTGGGCCTCATCCCCTACCCCACCATCAGGCCCTCACCCATGCCCTGTCCCCAAAGTTGCACCCAAGCCCCGGCTCAGTGGCTGGACGTGGCTCAAGAAGCAGCTGCTGGAGGAGGCCCCAGAGCCTCCGTGCCCAGAGCCGCGGCAGAGCCTGGAGCCAGAGGTGCCCACCCCCACAGAGCAGGAGGTGCCTGCCCCCACAGAGCAGGAGGTGCCCGCCCTCACCGCACCCCGGGCCCCCGCCTCCCGGACCTCCAGGATGTGGGATGCCGTGCTGTACCGCATGTCAGTGGCGGAGGCCCAAGGGCGCCTGGCAGGGCCCAGCGGTGGGGAGCACACCCCAGCCAGCCTCACCCGCCTGCCCTTCCTGTACCGGCCTCGCTTCAACGCCCGGAAGCTGCAGGAGGCCACCCGGCCCCCTCCCACAGTCCGCTCCATCCTGGAGCTGAGCCCCCAGCCCAAGAACTTCAACCGCACAGCGACTGGCTGGAGGCTCCAGTGAAGTGGCCAGAATGGCCCCCAGAGCCCAGGACCATGGGATGGACAGAAGAAGGGGCTGAGGCTCTAGCTGGGGGCCCATAGTTGCTGCATGAAGATGCACCAGGGCCCAAGGGGCATGGGGTGCAGGGCAGCCTGGGAAGGGCACATGGGGTGCTGAGGGAAGTCTGCATGGTTAGGAGGGTGGTCAGGTGGACGGGGCAGAGAGGACGAGCTGGAGCCCCTGGGCTGCAGTGGTGTGAGGGGAACAGAGAAGGGGTCTGCGTCGGGATGTAGGATGGGGGCCTTGGGATGAAAACTTTAGGTAAGATGGCAGAGGACTGCATCTACTGACCTAGCCCAGGCTCCTCAGGGGCCTGGGCCTCTCACTGATCCTCCCTTTTGCTGTCACCTTTTGCTGTCAAAGGTTTGGGGCCAGATCTCTGCTTGCTGAGGCATGGGTGCGGTCAGGCTGGCTTGGCCATCGGCGTCAGGAGCAGTCAGCAGTTTTGCTGCCTGTGCTTCCTGATGGCAGAGCCAGATCCTGGGACTAGGGTGCAGGGGGGAGCCCTCAGCCAGCGTGGGACTTGGCACCAATACAAGTGCTCAGGGGCAGGCAGGGAGGGGCTCATCAGGGGTGGAGGAGGGCCCAGCGTGACCTCTCTCTCGGCCCACCTCTGCTTCCCCTACCTGGGCTGACAGCCTGAGGGGGCAGAACTCGAGGGATTCGCTGGTGGGACAGCGAGGGTCTCAGCACTGGCCATGCCCAGGCTTTGACAGCTGGATGAGGAGGGAGCCCTCAGTCCCAACCCTATGGGAACAGCTTGGCCAAGCGGGACAGAGAAGGGGCTGTGGCCCTGGTGGGGAGAGTGGAGGGGCCTACTCAGCAGTCAGCCAGGCTCTGGTGGGGGTGGCCAACCACAGGAGAGGGACACAGAGGTACCAGAAAAAGCCTCTGCCACAGCTGCTTGAGAGTCAGGGTTTGGCAGGGGAAGATGGTAGGAGGACAGCTGCCCCACCCTGTGGTGTGATGGGTGCTGGAAATGGAGCCTGGGGCCCAGGTCACTAATAAATGTGTGTCTCACCATGGCAGGAGTGGCACTGCTCTGTCTGCAGCATGGGATGGGGAGGGCATCAGGACCTCTGAATCGCTCTCGGCTGGGACAGGGAGTAGGACCTAAGTTCCTGCCCCTCTATGGACCCTCAGCATACAGATGGTCAGGGAACCTGGGCTCCATGCCACCTGCTTCCTTCAATGCTAGCCCTGTGGTGGCCAGGCTGCCCCTCACTTCCCTCACGAGCCCTGCTGTGGCTTTTGGGGAGTCCCAGATGGGAGCCTTGAGCTTCCCTAGTGGAGCAGTGGCTGAGCCGGGCTGACTCTAGTGAAATGAGCAGAGAGTTTGAATCTGGTATCAGGTGAGAGAGGCAGCATCTGCACAGGACTGGGAGACTGAGCTGGTCTGGGTTCTGGCCAACTCGGAGTCCACCCTTGTAGCCTGCAACAGGGCTCCAGGCAGCCTCCAGGTTGCCAAGTTCCCAGCACAGTGCACGTGTGTGCACCTCATCCCCTTCTGTGAGTTGCCAGGGACTCACCGAGATGGGACGCCTAGGGAGCCGGGCCCCCTTCCACAAGCACCTTCTCATACTTCCCATGCCCGGTGGCCACAAACTTATACCTCTTCCCAGATGGGGTGCTCTGTTGGGAAAGGAGACCAAGAGTGAAGGTGAGAGCAGCAGAAAGGAGATGATGCTGCCTCCGCCTCTGGGAAGCCCTCCCAGATGCACAGAGGACAGTCCCTCTTTGCCCTCCCCTGCTGCACCCACCCTGCCTGCACCAACCACATTTAGGCTCTACCTTAATTGTTGATGAGGTCTTGGAGCCTCCCTTCTGCTCCCAGAGGCTTTTCTTGCTCATGTCTCCAGCCACAATATCCTGGGGGCAGCAGAAGGGTATGTCACAAGGGCAGACCCCTGGATCTTGGGGAGTAGAAGCCCTGGGCCCTTCTCTCCCGCCTTGCCTTACCTGGCCAGGGGGCCTGGGATCTGCCTACCTAAACTTTTTCTGTGTGATCCCAGTGGAAGAGGCAGGGAAAGGAATAAAGGTGCCATCTACCTCCACTCGGACAACACAGCCTTCTACACCAGCAAGGGTGAACCCAACCCTACTGCAATACCTCAGGGTTCTGTATACCCACATTCATCCTGGACAGTCCCATGCTTGTCTTAACAAGGAAACCCGGCCTGCTACTAAACTCCCAGGCGCTGGCTCTGCAGCCCAGCCTTGCCCCTGGAGGGGACCTTACCTTGCAGGACGGAGTCTTGGCCGCAGACTGAGCCTGTACCTCACCCGTCTCCCACCGACTCTTGGTACTGGCCACAGCCATGCTGGGCAGCTCTATGGAGGCCTGGCGGGCTAGCTTGGGGGTCCGGCCAGCGGTCTGCAGAGGAGGAAAAGCATCAGGATTACCTTAGTGGACAGCCACCGTGGTCACATCAGAGGGTCACACTGGGCAACCGTCTGCTTTGTGTTTGTGTTTTCCCTGGGAGCGCTTTCCCAATGCAGCCCCAGAGTGGGGATCACTGGAAAGATGAGCCTTCCTCCATTCGATGCAGTTGTGAGACACCTCCCTGTCCTGAAGAGCATCAGGGAGATGATGGCGCACAGGACAGATGTGGGTCTGCCTCCATGCTCCTCATGGGGTAGGGCTGGGGGACCATGGGATGGATGGAGGGACATTGAATGGATAGAGGGACAATGGTTAAATTTCAGAGTATTGGTTGGATGGAGGAGCATTGATTAGATGGAGGAGTATTGGTTGTATAGAAAGGTGTTGATAGATGAAGGAATATTGATTGGATGGAGGAGTACTGATTATATGAGGGAGTGTTTGTTAGATGGAGGGGCATTGATTGAATGGAGTAGTATTGGTTGGATAGAGCCGTATTGGTTCAATGAAGGGGCATTGATTGCATGCAACGACGTTGATTGGATAAAGGAGTATTGGTTGGATGGAGGGGCACTGGTAGGATGGAAAGGTATTGACTGGATGGAGGAGCAGTGAATGAATGAAGGAGTATTGATTGGATGGGGAAGTATTGGTTGGATGGAGGAATATTGATAGGATACAGGAGCATTGATAGGACGGAGGAGTACTGGTTGGATGGAGAGGCATTAATTGGATGGAGGAATATTGGTTGGATAGAAGGATGTTGGTTGGATAGAGGAACATTGATTGCATGGAGGAGTACTGGTTGGATGGAGGAGTATTGGTTGGTTGAAGGGGGATTAATTGAAATCAGAAGTATTGCTTGACTAGAAGGGCGCTGATTGGGTGAAGGAGTAAAGTATGGATGGAGGGGCATTAATTGCATAGAAGAGCACTGATTGGATGGAGGAATACTGGTAAGATAGAGGAGTGCTTGTTGGATAAGTGAGTACTGGGTGGATGGAGGGGCACTGGGTGGATGGAGGGGCACTGATTTAGTAGAGTGTTGGTTGGATGGAAGGATACTGGTTAGATGGAGATGTCCTGATTAGATAAAGAAGTATTGGTTGAATAGAAGGGCATTGATTGGAAGCAGAGGCATTGATTGGGTGAAACTATTTTGGTTGGATGGAGGGAAATTGATGGGATAGAAGGCCATTGATTGGGTGCAAGGCATTATTGGATGGAGGGGCATTGACTGGATGAAGTTGTTTTGGTTGGCTGGAGGGGAATTGATTGAATGGAGGAGCACTGAATGAATAGGGGTATTGATTGGATGAAGGTGTATTGGTTGGATTGAAGGGAGTTGGTGGATGAAGGACTATTGGTTGGATGCAGGGACATTGACTGGATGGAAGAGTATTGGATGATTGGATGGAGAGGTACCGATTGAATGGAGGGGCTGGCATGTGGGACTGGCATTGGTTACATGGTGAGCCATTCATTGGATAGATGAGTATTGGTTGGATGGAGGGTATTGGTCAGATGGAGAAGCATTGATGGATGGAGGAGAATTGATTGGATGGGAGGGACATTGATTGGATGGAGGGACATTGGATGCAGAGGCACTGATTGGATGGAGTAGTATTGGATGGAGGGATGAATCTTGATTGGATGGAGGGGCACTGATTGGATTAAGGAGTACTGGTTGGATAAAGGGGGATTGATTGACTGGAGGAATATTGGCTGGATAGAGGAGCATTGATAGGATGAAAGAGCATTGATTGGGTGGTGGAGTACTGTTCCGAGGGGGGCATTGATTGAATGGAGGAACACTGAATAATTGGAGGAGTATTGGTTGCAGGAGTATTGGTTGTATAAAGGAACATTAATTGGATGCAGAAGCATTGATAGGATGGGAGATTATTGGTTGGATGGAGTAGCATTGATTGAAAGGGGGGGCATTGATTACATGGAGTGACATTGATTAGATGGAGGGGCATTGATTGGGTAGAGGGGCACTGACTGGATGGAGAAGCATTGGTTGGATAGGGTGTTGGTTGAATAAGGCGGCACTGATTGGATGGAAGGGCGTTGGTTGGATGAAGGAATGGTGCCAGGATGCAGGAGGGACCTGACAGCAGAGGGGAGCCAGGTCATACCTCGATGGCCTGGGTGTATTGTTCCAGCCACTGATCAATCTTGGAGATGGGCAAGTCTGGCTGGGATTTCTTCACACTGTTACTGGAGGGTAGAAGATGTGTCAGGCCCCATGTCTCCCACAAGGCTTCTCCCAACCTGCCCAAGCCTCTCCCAGAGCCCCCCTCGGTCTCCAGATCTCTACCTTGTGACTCCCTTCAACCCCCACTTGGTTAAACCTAAGATCTGAGCCCAGAAAGCAGACAGACAGACAGACAGACCTCTTCTCTATGGAGCGGTTTAGGGACTCGGTCCTGTCGATGAGCTGCAGAGGGTGGAGAGAGACACAGGCCTGCAGCAGCCGAGGTAAAGCCCACCCTCCATCTCCCCAGCTACTCCAACCACTAATCCAACCCCCAACCCTTATATCATGGGGGTTCGCTGAGCACCGGGCAATGGGGGGATAGCAGACAAAAGCCAGGCCTGGGCCTGGTCTTCCTGTGGCTGGCATGTGGGATTGGCCTTTTGGGTATGAGTACGGGAGAGGGGAGAAGATGGCAGGCTTTGCAGCTTAACTTACTTTGGTGGTAGGGCTCAGGGGAGGCGAGCTCTGTTCGATGGTCCCCTCCAAGACCAAGGGGCTGGGTGTCCTGGGCTGCTGACATTTCTGGTGCTAGAAAAAAAAAAACAGACATCCCAAGTGACCCCCTGCTTGTGCCCCTCCTGCCCTGCCCAGCACCTGTGGGAACAAATGCTGTTCCTTCCTGAGCCCCAGGTTCTCTGTGGCCCTGACGTGCTCCAGTTCTGGAGCTGGTGGGGAGGGACTGAGGAGTCTGGAGAGATGTCTCCGGATCTTGCAAGAGGATCACTGAGCCTTGCCCTCTCTGAGAATGTGGGCCCAGAAGGGGCTGCAAGGTCTAGGGGTGTGGGGTGCTGACCCACTCTGGGCTAGACCCACAGGGCCCACAGAGTGGTGCAGACAGCCAAGGCAGACTCATCCCTGGGGTGGGGGTACACCCAGACCCTCTGAGGTGGAGCCATCACCTCCTCCTGTTCCTCCTCAGCCCCTGCGGCCCCCAGGTTGTCCTGGACAGTGTCCTCTGGGCCTGGCCCCTCCTTGCTCAGACTCAACTCCTCCAGGTGGACTTCATCACTGTCCTCCTTTTCGTAGGCATGCAGGCCGGGCCTGTGGGTGGAAAGGGAGGCAAAGCCGTTCTAGGGCCATTGGATTGCTTGGTTGACCCCTTCCTTTTTCCAAGCCTCAGTTTCCCCATCTGTAAAATGAAGGTAGTCAGGCTACTTGAGTGCCAAGGGATCTGAGACCCAAGCCCATTGGGAAAGAAGGTCCAGTGGCCTCAGAGCCAGCGCAGTCTGCTTGGGCCCCTGTGTCAGGGCCTGAGGCCCCTGGGGAACTGCCCAGTCCCTGCCAGACAGGGCTCTACAGACTGAGGGTCCCCCAGGCACTGAGGCTGGGTTCAATCCCCAGCTTTGTGGCTGGGCCTCAGCTTGGCAGCTGCTTGCACACCCGGTTGGTCTGACGGGGTCCCCGCGAGGCCGGGCTGCTGGGGCCACCACTCCTGCTCTGCTCCCTGTGGGGGCCCTTGGGTGTTTGGGGGACTGGAGGCTGGGTCATTTGGAGGGCTAGGCAGGGGTAGGGGCCAGGTCACTGAGGAGCAGGGCCAAGGGGCTGCCGGCTGCGGGGGAGGGGAGGCCAGCCAGCTGGCAGCTTTGAGCGGCTCTGCATTTGAGCAGGACTGAACCTGGAGGAGAAGATGGGAAATTCTCGAATTTTCCATGATTTCAGGCCCCTGGGTGTGCGTGCCAGCCAAGACCCAGACCCACCCGCCCAAGGTGGGCAGGGGTCTGAGCCAGCAGCAGCCACACAGAGGGGCCATTCAGGAGCAGGTCTGTGCAGCCAGGCAGGTGCAGGGGGTGGGGTGGCGGCCGCAGAGCTGGGCTCCACGGAAGAGTCAAAGCGCCCCCTGCTGGTGGGAGCAGCCTCGCCCGCCTAGGCCTGAGGCCAAGGGAGAAGGGAGCTGCCCCATCTCAGAAAAGCAGAGCCGCTGACTCCCAAGCACGTAGGGGGGAGACTGAGGCCCAGGGAGGGGGGCGGTGGGCACTGCGCCAGGCCAGGACCAGTGGTTCTTGGGGAGTGGGAGCCTGGTTGTAGGAGGACAAGGGAGCGTCGCTCAGCAACACTGGTCCCTAGAGCTCCAGGCTGGTTTAGGGCCTCAGAGGGGCCAGGAAGGACCCTGACCAGGGAGAACTGTCAGCCCAGCCATGGGCTCTGGTCCCACTCAAGGCAAGGGGGTCCTGAGCAGGGCTGGGGTCCCAGATGGCCCAGGCCCTGCAGGGCGGGTGGGGTCAGCCCCATCATGGCCACAGATGACTGAGAGCGGCAAGGACCCCGAGCAGGGGTAGTGAAGTGGGGCTCGGGAGCAGCCCCTGTTGGGCCTGTTGGGGTTGAGACAGGCACACACATCCCCACATCTGGAAAGTGCGTCCTCCCGGCCGACTCTCCGGCATGCACATCTGGAAATACCTGCTCCCCTCCGTGGGAATGGAGATCAGCCAGCCCCGAGGGAGGAAGGGGCGGCGGCGGGCTCTCAGCCTCCATTACGGAAGCGGCCGCAGCTGTGTGCTGATGTGGCAGCACCCGGCCTGGCCTCGCAGCTGCCTGGATGGGGCCCAGGGGCCCTGGGGAGCCCCAGAATGAGGTTTCCTCGCGGCCCCTCGCCGGCCACCATGCTGTCTCGCCCTCTTCCTCCCTCCCCTCCTGTCTCCCCCTTTCCTGGCCATGGGGGCATTTCAGGCTCTGCTTGGAAAGGGGAGGATGGGGTGGCTGCTCAGGCGCAGGTTGAGGGCCTGAAGGGAGCTCCGCGGTGCCCTGCTCTGCCCAGCGCCCGCCCTCGAGGTCCAGAGGGAGCCCTGCTCTGCCCAGCGCCCGCCCTCGAGGTCCAGAGGGAGCCCTGCTCTGCCCAGCGCCCGCCCTCGAGGCCCTCACTCACCTGTCCTCTTGCTCCCCCTCAGGACTCCTGCACTGGGGGGGCTCTCCGCTGTCCAAGGCGCCCTGCGCCCCCTCGTGCTGCTGCCGCTGCTCTGGCCTCTGGGACCAGTCGCCAAAGCCCTCGTCCTCATCCAGTTCAGGGGCCTCCGAGGGCTTCAGGCTGAGGCTGAGGGTAGCAGGGGGGAGCTTAGGCCTGGGCGGCTGCTGCCTCCTCTGCCCAGGGCCCACACTCACCTCACGGCGCCCGCTCAGGCCCTGGACTCCAAGTGTGGGAGACCCTGTCTGCCACAGAGCTGGCTCTGGGCTGTGTCTCCTGTGGTCAGAATACCTGAGGGCAGGGCTATGCCTCCCCCGTCAGTTCTGGGGCAGCCTGAGAACTGTGCTTCCTCCATCAGTCCAGGACTCCTTGAGGCTCAGCAGGGCTATGCCTCCTCCATCAGCCTGGGGCTACCTGAGGGCAGGGCTATGCCTCCCTCATCAGTTTGGGGCTCCCTGAGGGTAAGGCTGTGCCTCTTCGATCAGTGTAGGGCTCCCTGAGGACAGGGCTGTGCCTCCCCTGTCAGCCTGTGGCTCCCTAAGAGCAGGGCTGTGCCTCCCCCATCACTCTGGGACTCGCTAGGGCAGGGCTGGGCCTCCCCCGTCAGCCTGTGGCTCCCTAACAGCAGGGCTGTGCTTCCCCCATCAGTCTGGGGCTCCCTAGGGCAGGGCTGTGCCTCCCCCATCATCCTGGGGCTCCCCAAGGGCTGCCCTGGTCCCCACATGAGGACCCTACATGAGGTCCTCCTAAGCCCCGACTTCTCAGGCCTCCCATGTGGCAGGGGGAGCCCCTGGATAGCTGGGGCCCTTGGTGGGGGTGGCCAAGGGCCTGACTATGGTGACCGCTGAACCCCACTCTGCCCAAGGCTGCTGACTTGGAGAAAATGGAACAAAAGAGGCCAGAAGGAAGGGAAGCATTATTGGAAAAACAGCCCAGCCCAGCCGCGGAGGCCTCCTGGGCCCAAGGAGGAAGCAAGCCAGCCTGGCCGCCAAGTTGGACGTGGCTCTGTGAGTCACTGGCGGGGGAGTCTGGTGGGGGGCTCGGCCAGGCTGCGTGGCTGGGGTCAGAGGCGGTCCGAGCAAGGGCCAGGGCACGGACACAGAGCCTGGGTCAGCGCCCAGGAGGCAGCCAGGTATTGGCAGACCCTCCTCTAGGGCTGTGGCCACCCTCGCCCCAGGAGCACTCACCCACTCCCACGCCTGCTCCTGGGGGCCCTTCCTCGCTCTCATCCTGCACTGGAACCCCCAAGCCCAGGCCCTTGACCTCCCCCTCTGCCCAGGCCCCAGGGTACACGGATAGGGGCTAGAGCCCAGGCACGCGTTATGGGGCTGCTCACAGCATCTCCTGCTTCGGCCGCTCGGGGACATGGCCGCCTCCCTCCTCGTCCTGGGCCTGAAGCTGCCTGTCTCTCTCATGCTGGCATTGCTCGTGGACGGCCTCCTCCTCGTCCTCCACGCTCCACTGAGCAGTGGGCCTAGTGGGGGACACAGAGGGACAGTCACGCCACAGCCGACACAGGTGCTGTTTTGCACCCATTCCTCCCATCTACACAGGCCTTGCTGGGGCCACACGGTGCAGGCAGCCCTGTCCACGAGGTCAGTCCCAGGCCGGCCCTCAGGCCTCACCTTGTCCATCTTTAAATAGAGGCTGCCCACGTGGTCATGAGGTGCCCTCTGGCCCAGGCGAGGGTCCTGGGGCCCTGTGAGGATCTGGGCACCCCTGTGCCCTGTGGGGATGAAGGTGGGACTCCAAGGCCCATTCAAGCCTGAAGAAACTCAAGGACAGGACAAAAGGCCCTCTGTCCCCCTCTCCCAGCCTGCCTCCCTCCCTAAGTAGAACCAGGACCTAGACCCAGGTGACCCTGGAGGGCCCAGGAAGAAGATACTGGAGTCCAGGGAGACTGGCCGCAGCCCACCGCCAGGCGGCACCTCCACCCCACCTGCGGGTGCTCCCTCCTGCACCCCAAAGGCAGGGCGTGTTGGAGAAAGGGGAGGTCGAAGGCTGAGGAAAGGAGGGCCTGAGCACGTCCAGGCAGGACACCTCCTGTCCCACCACCAGCCCCGCTCACAGAAGCTCCGCAGACTCATGGGTCCTGCCTGGGCCTAACCCCATAGCTGGGGGCACCTTACAGGGTCGGCTCACCCAACCCCACCCCATCCTTATTTCAGAGCCCTCTGCGGAGTCTCTCTGAGCTGTTTCTTTTGTTTGTTTGTTTGAGACGGAGTTTCACTCTTGTTGCCCAGGCTGGAGTGCAATGGTGTGATCTGGGCTCACCACAACCTCCGCCTCCTGGGTTCAAGCGATTCTCCTGCCTCAGCCTCCTGAGTAGCTGGGATTACAGGCATGCACCACCATACCCGGCTAATTTTGTATTTTTTAGTAGAGACAGGGTTTCTCCATGTTGGTCAGGCTGGTCCTGAACTCCCGACCTCAGGTGATCCGCCCGCCTCAGCCTCCCAAGGTGGTGGGATTACAGGGATGAGCCACCGCACCCAGCCGATTGAGCCATTTCAAAAATGGGGAAACTGAGGTAAGGGAGTGCTTCTGCCCTCAGAGCCTGAAACCATGGCTTCTTGGGGTCCCACGCGCCCCCCTCAGGGACAGAGGTAGGCACAGGCTGGCCTGGACCTGGGCATCAGAGCCCCGGCCCAGCAGCTCTCAGATGGTCCAGGTCCTGCAGACACCGCAGCCTCAGCTGTCATGGCCCTGCCTCCCATCGCCCTCCTAGAGCCTGAGAGGGGGTCCAGGGTCTCTACACTCCTACAGGGCTTATTATCCCAGACCCAGGGAGGGAGCCCAGGCCAGAACAGGGAGCAGGGCTGGGGTCTCCCCACTGGGGTCTCAGTTCTTCCCGGCCAGTGGCCGCTGCCTGACCCTGCAGCCTGATCCCCACTGGGCCCCAGTCCCCTGGCCAGACAGCCCTGCCAGCGCGTGATCTAATCTCTCCTAGGTCTCCCCTAAGCCTCTCAGACAAAAGCCAGGCCCTTCCACAGGCCCGAGTTCAAGGCCCACTCCCCCCACCGAAGCCACAGGGGACTCCAGCCACGCAAACCCAGCCGCCTGTGCACCCCGCCCCCCGCGCCCCCGAATCCGCCTGCCTGTCCTGCTCCTCAGAAGTGCCTTCAACTCCCGGCCCCCGAGGAAGCCACTTAATTCCCCACACCTGGCTCCCATCATCCGGGCAGATGAGGCCCAGCTTCCCGCTTCTGCCGGCCTCCGCATGGCTGGGGGCTGCTGGGCCTTGTTCCACCTGAGGAGGCAGAGCCTGGGGCGCAGGGGCCCTCGTGCTCACTCACGCCCCAGCCCCTCCACACAGAGGGCGGCGCAGGCTGGGGCAGAGTGTTGAGGAGGTGGAGGGGTTCCATGGAGGGGAAGCCTGGCCATATTGCTCCCCGTGTTCCCATGTCCCAGCCCCTCCATGTGAGCAAGGGCTTAGCTGGGGTGTGTGTCCCTGGGCCTGGGGCATGAGAGGGAGCCCATGCTCCTCCTTGGACCTGGGCTTCCGATGGGTCCAGGGCCCTCACTCCAGCTCCACAGACCCCCTCCACCAAGCCATAGGGGAGGCGGGGCTTGGAAGTACACATTGGCGCAGAGACCCCAGAAGCTCGTGTGCACACGTTTCCTCAGGTCCACCCCTATGGGCAAGCAGTCCGGGCCCCAACAGCCCCACAAAGGCCCTCACTCTGCTCACAGCTCATGCCCAACACATGGAGTGCGGCCGGGCGCAGGACTCCCTAGGCCTGGGGCACACGCAGGTGCACACCCAACTCACACACGTTCTCCACGAGCCCACGCTCCAGCCACACAGGCATACATGCCCGCACCCCATGCACATACAAGTATGCACGTGCTCACACACGGGAACCTTTGACATCCACGTGCGTGTGCAGACAGGCTTGGGAACAAGGGGACCACGTCCCCCTCCAGGGATCCCTTCAGGGTGCCGCAGCCTCACTTTAGTGAGGCAAACGTTGACTGTTTGCCTTGCCATTGCCCCGACAACGGCGGTGCCGGCCCTGGCACGAGGCCCAGGTGTGTACTCTGGGAACATCGTCCCTGCAGAGCTGGGCCCCTGGAGGATCACTCCGACTGAGCTCTCCCTGGCTAGGGGCCTGGGGGACAGAGTAGGGGATGCAGAGTAAGCATCTCCTGGTGTCTCCCCTAAAACCCAGTGCTGGGGAGAAGCCCGGCCAGCCCCTGGCCTCTGACCCAGCAGCCTGAGGACGTGGAGGCCTCTGGGCCCCTTCTACGTCTCCTCCCTTTCCCCTACCCCAGGATATGAGTCATGCGGGCCCCCTCCCCATGACCTCACCCCCTCACTATTCCACAGCTGGGCTCCGTTCTGGGAACTGAAAGGGGGGCAGCTCTCCTGGGGTGGGGTGGGGGCCTCTGGCCTGGGAAAGGCGCCCCCCGGCCAGCGGCCCAGGCCCCTTGGCATGCACCACGGAGCTGTCAGGACTCTGGGATGGCCGACCCCGCCCGTGGCCCTGGCTCAGCCCCGTGCAGCTGCGAGGGATTTGGTGTTCCTGCACAAATGCAATTAGGCGATTTCCTGTGTCTGTTCTGGCTCCGAAGCCCAAGGTTCAGCCCAAGGGGCCAGGCGGTGGGGGGGCTCCATCCACCTCCCACCCCAGCACACCCCCGCACCCTCACAGTCCCAGGCTCCACTTCGGGGCCTGGCCCCCAGCCAGGGACACCAGTATGCACAGAACTCTGACGGATGCCTCGTTCGGAGTGGAGCTCCCCAAGCTCAGGTCTGTTCCTGCCGGCCTCATCCACTGCCAAGCACCCCCCGACTCGGGACGCTGGCCCTTCTTCTCCTTCCTCCACAAACCCCCACCCCCACTTCTACCTCCCAGTCCCCGCTGAGGGCCTGACAATGCCCATCCTCGGCCCAGCACTCCCAGCTACCCACCTCCGTCCTCCCCCTGCAGACACTTGCAGAATGGGTGTCCGGCTCGGTCCCCGTCCCGACTCTGCCCCCTGCAGGCAGCTCCTGTGGCTGCCCCACCCGGCTGTCCTGAGCCCAGAGGGCGGCTGGAGAGGGTCCGTCCTCTCTGGGGTCCTGGGGAGTGAGGAGGCTCTGGTGAAGAGCAAGGGCTGCGGGGAGGATGTCGAGGGGAGGGGGAGCTTCTCCTCCAGGCCTGACCACAGGTCCCTTGGACACCACAGGGAGCTGGCAGGAGGCCTGGGGAGCTGGGCTGGGCCTTCCACCAGGGTGGTTCGGGGCTCCCTGCACAGCACTGAGGTCTCTGGTCCCCTCATGAGCCCAGCCTCCCCTGGGGTCCTAGACTTGACCCCTCAAGTCACTGCAGAGCCCAAGAGTGGAGAGACACAGCACCGTGTGCCGGGAAAAGGTGCCCACAGGGGCCCTCCGTGGCTGAGGCTTCCAGAGGGTAGTGGGACAGCAACCCCGCTCCCCGCCAGCCGCCCACCACAGCGTTCATGATACAGCTTCGGAGTGTGTGTCGGGGCCTATCTGGGAAGCCAGGGCAAAGGCGGTGGCAGCTGGCAGCACCCACACCCACAGCTGGGGCACTGCTCACATGAGCCCCCATCAGCAGGCCCCTTGGTTGTGCCACACGCAGGGGTCCTGCCCCAGGGAGGGGGCAGTCCAGGGAGGGGCTCGAGGGTGTGGCACAGGCCAGCTGTCACTCCTCCCTGGAGAGGCAGCTGGGGACGCAGCTGGGAGGGGAGCCAGGAGCAGAGACAGCCCGGGGCCAGCAGGTGGGTGACAGGTGGGGCAGCGGGAGGGGCATGCGCCGTCCGCCTGGGGCTCGGGCGTAGAGACGGGAACCTGCCCCCCAACGCCTGGTGCTGGCCCAGCCTCCCCCCCGGGGCCTCTAGCACCTTCCCGGTTGTGGCTGCACCCTGCTGGGCATGGCAGGGGAGGGTGGGGGTCAACCCCTTTCCTTGTAGTCCCACGCCAGTGGGCAAGGGAGACGCCGCAGTGAGCAGGACCCTAGCCTCTCTGCCTGGGGAGGCCGAGTGATGAGCCGCCCGGAGCAGGAGGAGGCCTTGAACTTGGGTCTGAAAGATGAGCAGGGATTTGCTGGACTGGGTGCAGGCAAGAGCTAATGCAGGAAGGCAGAGAGCAGGATTGCTCAGAGGGAGTGGCTCTGTGCAGCTGGAGCCGGATGGGTGACCCTCACTCAGGAGGAAGCACTGGGACCCTCTCTGCACGCGCTGGGTCCCCCGCCTCCTGTTAGGATCCCCACACCCAGGTCCTTCTGGGCCTCTGCTGCACAGATCAGGTCTGGAAGGCTCCCTGGAGGAGGCAGCGCCTGGACTTGGACATCGGCCTGCAGAGCTGGCTTCCCTCACAACCCTGGGAAGACAGAACTCCTCAGCGGGTTGATGGGGGGGAGGGCGGAGCCTCCCTCCACGGCACCAGCCCAGTGCTGGGGGCGACACAGACAGCCAGAAGCTGGCAGGGGCCGGAGGCTCTGCCCCCCATGGGCTTTACATGCCGAAGCCCCCATGGCCGAGCTGGGACCCAGGGTCAGCCCAGGGAGGCCGCGAGAAAGGAGACTGTGGGCCCCACCCCATCACACAGGGAGGAGGTGCTGTGCCCGCTGTGGGGGGCAGCTGCCCCTCTCTGGGCCCTTTGGGTGGGAAGAGGCTTGGTGAGGTAGAAAGCCCAGCCCCAGCCGGCAGTGTTGCCTTCTCACAGTGGCAGCCCTTTGTAACCAAGGGGGGCCCTGCCGGGCCTCTCCTTGTTTCCTCACCATGGGGCAGCATTTGGGGACCTCTTGAGGGACCCCCTAGGTGCTTCTACTCAGAGCCCCCAAAGCCAAGGAGCCTCCACTCCTCCGTCTGCAGCCTCCCCTGCCGGTTCTCACTACCCAGGGTTCAGTGGCCTGGGGGCTGCCGGAGGGAGTCGCCTCTGCCAAGGCCCCTCCCGGCGCCTCCCTGGCTCATCCAGCCCACCTCCCTCCCACGCTGGCTCAGGCAAAGTGCTCTGGTCACCAGGAGCCCTTTCTGACCAGCCCCGGCCCCTTCTTGGCCTTCGCCCCACCTGGCCTCCCCTGGAGCCCTGGCCTGGGTGCCGGGCCTGCTGGGTCCAGAGCCCACCCCACCCTGAACAGCCCTGAGTCTCAGCCACCCTCTGTTCTCACCCATTTCACAGCTGGGGAGTGAAGACTGGGCCTGAGGTCTCGCTCCCGGGAAGGGGTGTCGGGAGACCAGATCCTCACCCCGACACTGCCCCCACTGTCCCCAGCCTGCCCCCACTGTCCCCGGCCTGCCCTCACTGTCCCCAACACTGCCCCCCCGTCCCCGGCCTGCCCCCACTGTCCCCAGCCTGCCCCCACTGTCCCCGGCCTGCCCTCACTGTCCCCAACACTGCCCCCACTGTCCCCAGCCTGCCCCCACTGTCCCCGACACTGCTCCCACTGTCCCCGGCCTGCCCCCACTGTCCCCGGCCTGCCCCCACTGTCCCCAGCCTCCCTCCTCTGCCGGCCTCCCTGCTCTGCCGGCCTCCCTCCTCTGCCGGCCTCCCTGCTCTGCCAGCCTCCCTCCTCTGCCGGCCTCCCTCCTCTGCCGGCCTCCCTGCTCTGCCAGCCTCCCTCCTCCGCCGGCCTCCCTCCTCCGCCGGGCTCCCTGCTCTGCCGGCCTCCCTCCTCTGCCGGCCTCCCTCCTCCGCCGGCCTCCCTCCTCTGCCGGGCTCCCTGCTCTGCCAGCCTCCCTCCTCTGCCAGCCTCCCTCCTCTGCCGGCCTCCCTCCTCTGCCGGCCTCCCTCCTCTGCTGGGCTCCCTGCTCTTCTGGTTGCCACCCTGATGGCTACTTCCTGCCCCACAACCACCAGACTAGCCCAGACTTGGTTCCAGCTTTTTCTTCTCAGCCTGCCTGGGATGGCCCAGGGCATGATTCTTCCATAGCCATAGCCTCGGTCCAGTTCCTCCCTCCTCCCTCCTCCTTCCATTCTTCTCCTTCTCCTTCCCTCCTTCCCTTCCTCCCTTCTCCATCCTCCCTTCTTCCTCCCTCTTCCTTCTTCCCTCCTCCCTCTATCCTTCCCTCCTTTCCTCCCCTCCTTCCTCCCTCCCTCCCTCCCTCCCTCCATCTTTCCTTAGCCAGCAGTTTATTTTGTCAGGTGCTAGGGACCCAAAGACGGAGGAGTGAGATCTCCTCCCTGCCCTTACAAATCTTAGCAGTTGCCAAGAAACCAGCGCTGACCCATGATGTGGATCAAGAAGCACAGAGGGGAGCTGGCAGGAAGTCTCTCAAAGGAGGGGCTCCTGTGCCTGCTCTGAGCCTCGGGGTCGCCGCAGTGGGCAGGGTCCTGGCAGGGAGGAAGGGGTGCAGTGGCCGTGCGTATGCCTAGCGGTCCCCAGGGAGGCACAGCCAAGGGGAGACAGAGCCGCCCCCCACCCGCACAGCCCTCCCCTCTCCCCATCCTCCCTGTATCCCAGATGCCAGCCCTCAACTCTTGATGACCTGAGGCTTGTCTCTGCCCCCTGCCTCCACCTCTCCCTGCCTCCATCTCTCCCTGCCTCCACCTCTGGGGAGAGGTGCACAGGGAGGGGTCTGTTCCTCTGGGTTCCTTACCCACCCAATCCGAACCTGCTTCCCCCTATACCCCCACCCCCCACCGCTGGGACTGCTGTCCAACTTGGGATGGGATAGGGTCGCCTCCTCCATTGCTGAAGCCCCCTGAGCTTCATGACCCACCCAGTGCTGCATGAGGGCCCTGAGCTCCTGCATCAACTTCGCCCCAGAGTGGTGATGCCAGGACTAGTCTGAGTGCGGGCCGGGGTGACTGCAGCCCAGGCATGCCCGCCACACACACCCCGTCCCAAAGGTGCCCACGCCAGCCGGACAGACCCCAACTCTACCAGCGCAGGCCAGGGTGACTACAGCCCAGGTCTGCCCGCCACACACACCCCCTCCCAAAGGTGCCCACGCCAGCCAGACAGACCCCAACTCTACCAGCGTGCACCGGGGTGACTGCAGCCCAGGCCTGCCTGCCACACACACCCCCTCCCAAAAGTGCCCACGCCAGCCAGACAGACCCCAACTCTACCAGCGTGCACCAGGGTGACTACAGCCCAGGCCTGCCCACCACACACACCCCATCCCAAAGGTGCCCACGCCAGCGGACAGACCCCAACTCTACCAGCACGCACCAGGATGACTGCAGCCCAGGCCTGCCCGCCACACACACCCCGTCCCAAAGGTGCCCACGCCAGCCAGACAGACCCCAACTCTACCAGCATGGGCTGGGGTGACTACAGCCCAGGCCTGCCCACCACAGAGACCCCGTCCCAAAGGTGCCCACGCCAGCCGGACAGACCCCAACTCTACCAGCGTGTGCCAGGGTGACTACAGCCCAGGCCTGCCCACCACACACACCCCGTCCCAAAGGTGCCCACGCCAGCCGGACAGACCCCAACTCTACCAGCATGCACCAGGGTGACTGCAGCCCAGGCCTGCCCGCCACACACACCCCCTCCCAAAAGTGCCCACGCCAGCCAGACAGACCCCAACTCTACCAGCGTGCACCAGGGTGACTATAGCCCAGGCCTGCCTGCCACACACACCCCGTCCCAAAGGTGCCAACACCAGCCAGACAGACCCCAACTCTACCAGCGTGCGCCAGGGTGACTACAGCCCAGGCCTGCCCGCCACACACCCCCCCTCCCAAAAGTGCCCACGCCAGCCAGACAGACCCCAACTCTACCAGCGTGCGCCAGGGTGACTACAGCCCAGGCCTGCCTGCCACACACACCCCGTCCCAAAAGTGCCCACGCCAGCCGGACAGACCCCAACTCTACCAGCACGGGCTGGGGTGACTACAGCCCAGGCCTGCCCGCCACACACACCCCCCTCCCAAAGGTGCCCACGCCAGCCGGACAGACCCCCAAGTCTACCCAGACACCCAACAGGAGGGGTGCCCGTGCAGCGGCAGACAGCGCTGACCAAAGGGCATCTATGACCCTGGAAACCTCATGGTGTGGCCTCCGCAGAGCCGCAAGCCTTGGCCCCCTGCTGAGACTGGAAAATGGAGCCTGGTTTCCCCCAACCCCTCTACCCCTGGCTTCCCATTGGTCCTCAGAGGCTGGGTCAGGGACCGTCCTCAGAGCAGGGTCCAGAACCGGCTTGATGTCCTGCTGACCAGCCCATCACCTCCCTTGCGCTGGGTGCCCTACCTCTTTTGATGTGCTCTGTGGTCAGCCCTGTGCCGGCAGCACCCTTGTCCCGCTCTGCAGCTGTTTCACATCTCTGCCCCCATCTGCGGCGACCAGCCTGGGTCGGAGGTTAGGGCCCCGCCCTGCTCGTGGGTGGCCCTGCCTGCTGCATCCCGGCGGCGTGGCTGCGGCTCTGCCTGCCCCGTGCCTGCTCTTTCTTCCCCCCTCCTCCTGTTCTGCGTGCTGTGCATATGGCTTTCTGTCTTCCTCCGTGTCACTAACCACAACGCTGCCGAGCCCGTGCCACGAGCGAGGCGACCTGCGGGACCTTTCTGGGGCCCTCGCCTGCACTCCGCGATCAGCGTCCTCCGCCGCAGCTCTCACCCTCGCATGCGTCTACATGCAGCCCCACTCGGTGCCTGCTTCCCGCAGGAGGGGACCAAGGAGCCCTGATACCTACAGGTCCACCGACAGCCCGGCTGCGCCTCCCGCCTTTGCTCGACGGCCCTCGGGAGCGCTGCGGCGCCTGGGCCAGCTGGGACTGCCCTGGCAGAGCTCTTGCCGTGCTCACGAGGCAGGCTTTTGGCACGTTCTGGGACACGCAACCAGTCCCTGGCAACGGCTCGAGGCTCTGCCATCCTCTTTCCTTCCCAGCTAGCCATGCCCAGATGTACCTCACATCCCTGAAGTCTCTGCCCACAGATGCTGCCCGAAGCGCTCCCATCCTCCACGCAACCAGAGGCTTCATACATTATTCAGACGTGGTGCCCACCTGGGCGGGAGCCACAGCCGGCACCCAGAGAGAAGGACCAAGCCAGCCTGGCATTCAACCACCTGCTCCACTCCCACAGCACCGGGATCTTCCTACCGTAGCACCCAGCAGCCAGGCCCTCTTCCTGACACCCCCACACCATGTCTGCCTGTGGAGCTCTGGGGTGCCCGGCCTGGCCACCGGCCCCTCCCCGAAGCTTTCATGGCTGACCAGCCCCTCCCAGACTCATCATCCCTGGGGGTGCAGGGAAGACATGGCAGAGCAGAAAAGAGTCTGCCCCTGGGCCGGCACTTCTTTCCCAGGAGACTCCCCGGTGTATGTCCCCGGGTGCTGCGGGCACCCCCTGCCAAGCCCCAGGATGGGAGTAAGCTTTGGTGCCTCCCTGAGCCTCAGCTTTCCTGTTTGCAAAATGGGGTATGAAGGACCAGCTTCAGTGGGCCGTGGGAGACTCACATGGCCTTGGGATGTCCTCATGGCTGAGGTCAAGTGGACCGGCCTTGGTCCTCTGCACCAGAGGTCCAGACATCCCCGTTTAAAGAGGCACAGTGAGCACCAGTGCAGCCAGCGCCTCCGTCCTCACAATGGTCGCCAGGGGCGCAGTCCTATCATCCCCATTACAGATGCACAAACGGAGGCTCGGAGGTGCACCTCTCACGTCTCACGCAGGGGTCCCAGGGAGCTGATGACGTGGCTGGGGCTCCAACCCCTCAACCCCCAAGAACCGGGTGTGGGGAAGACCAGGCAGGGACAGAGGCCAGAAGAGGTGCTGCTCCTGAATGTGAGTGGAGGGTCCTGACCCAGGGGGTCCCAGTCCGGGTGCAGAAATTCATTTCTCAGTCTCGGGGAAAACCAGCCCCCCCCACGCCCCCTCCTCTGTGGGGCGCCCCATTTTCCTCGCCCGCCCTCTCCTTGGCAAGCTCGCCAGCCCTCGCCTGGCCTCACTGCGTTCCTCCAGCATCCATTTCTCGCTTCTTTGATCTTCCTCCTACCGCCCGTCTTTGGAGCACCAAGAAGCTGTGTGAGACAGCGGCTCTGAGCCTTCTGCCCCGGCACCTGCTAGGTGCGGCCCACGTGGGAGAGACCCCTCCTCCCACACCTGGGGTCGGCGGCAAGGGGCAGTGCCCGGGACCCTCACACAGCTTCCATTCGCACCTCAGCCCCTCCCTCTGCCCTTCCCATCCTGCCACCACCCTGCACCCGCTTCTGCTCCCCCTCCCTCCTCCTTCAAGGCAGCCCCTGCTCTCCCTCCCTCTCAGCATTTTTCCCTCCCTTTCTCTCATTTCTTTCTCGTGCCTTCGCTTTCTTTCTTTCTTTTCTCTGTCACTTCTCCCCAGGTAGGGTTTGTTCTCGTCAAGAGACCCTCACAGCCCCAGGCACAGGGTTGCCCCCCTCCCAGCATCCCTGGCCAGGCCCGGCCCTCAATCTCACCTCCGCAAGCACCACCTCAGCTCGCACCAATACCTCCCCAACCCGTCATGGGTAGCAGCCGACCCTCAAGCCTCCCGGGTCTCAGCCCACTTGGAGCCTGGGGCAGGGGCCAAGCCCCTCACCCTTCTCCCTAATGGTCCCCGCCCCATCCAGGGGTCACCCAAGGGCTTCTCTCCCACAAGCTCCCACTTGCAGTGGCTCCTGTCTGCCCTCCAGAGACCTCTGTGGTTAACCCCAGTCCACCGACCTCTGCCAAGCCGCTCTGAGCCGGATGCTCAGTCCCCGGGGCCATGCTCCCTCTGGCCTCAGGGTGCCTCCCCTTTACGGTTCCAGCAGGGGCATCTGGGGGTCGAGTGCCCAGGGCACCCTGGCTGCCGCTTGCTGGCCGCTCTGCCCAGCTCTGGTTCGCCGGCTGGGACTGAAGCCTGAACCGCCGTCCTCTGGGCTCTGGCCCTGACACCCTGCCCAGGGGGCTGGGCCACTCGGTCCCTGCACCCCTGCTGCTGGCTCGCCTGGGCTTCTGGGCAGGACGGGCTCTGTCCGAAGACCGACTTCCAGCCCTGCCAGGGCGGGGGCTACCCCACCCTCAGGATCTCAGGCCTGGATGGGCCCAAGGCAGCCACACCCTTTTGGACACTGTGGTTGGAGGCCTGGCTTCCCCCAGCCCCCTCAGGGCCAGCCCAGCAGGCTGCCAGCCCATTCCTGCCCCACTGGCCACATCAGGAGCCCCAGAGGTCCCTGGACCAGGCTGCTCAGGGTGGGTCCCTGCCTGAGGGGCCTTAGAGCCCTGCGGAGAGCCAAGCACGGTGTGGCTGCCACATCTGTATATGTGTGGGCAGATGTGTGCCCGAGATGGAGGGAATGGAGGGGCTCACACCGCCCAAAGAGCCATGGCTAAGGGTGGGCACGGGGCTCCGGGGACCTCAATGCTTGATAAGAACGTCTGCCAGGCTGATCCCCAGCCCCCCTCTTCACTCCGGGCCAGGCTACAAGGCACTCTCAGCCGGCCTGGTGCCCTCTCACAAAGCCAGGACCCCACAGGTAGCAGGGCCAGGCCGCTGGCTGAGTCCGGGTGACGTCTGGAGTTGAGTGGGCTGAAGTCCTCTTGAGGTCCCCTGACCATCCCTAACACTTGCCTTGCCCGAGCTGGCCCTGGGAGAGCCCCGAGTTGCCCAGGGGCAGGCAGGAGGCACAGGGCAGACTCCCAGGTGCCTGGAAGGGCAGACTTGGCAGGGAGGCATTGGGGGTAGGTCAGCCCAGGGCCTGACCCTGCCAGCCAGAAGCCGCATTCTGGCAGGGGCTGGGTACAGCCAGACCTGGAGAAAATGGTGTTATGGGACTACATGCAGAGCCCCTGGGCTTGCACTGGGTGTAGACAAGGAGAATCGCTGGGGCAGGGGTGGGGGGCGACGGGGCAGGGGGGACACGTTTTCCCACTGGCCCAGAGCACCATTTTTAATGGATGTAAACTGCATTGAATTTATTCCCTGGCAGCTGCGGGCACCTAGCATGGCCCTTCAGGGTTCATCACTGAGGACACAGCACTTTGCCTGCAATGCCTCTCCCAGCCCTGCACCTGACATGGCAGGACACCCAAGGGGTCCCCGGGAAAGGGGTGGGGTGATGCGGGTGGAGGAGGGACCCAGGGACCCGGGCTCATCATGCCCGGCTGAGTGGCCTTGAAGTCTCTTCACCCACAGCTTCTCTGAGCCTGGCTCACTCCTTTATCCAACAGGGAGTGGGTAGGGGGCAGTCTGCCTGGCCTGCAGGGCTGGGACTGGGGAAGTCCGAGCTGTTGGAGGCTGCAGAGAAGAGATCATGGCAGTGGTGGTGAGCGCAGTACTGTCCCGGGTGGTCGTGTGTGTGTGCATGTGTGTGTGTGGGTGTGGTGGGTGGGTGGGGTGCAGCGGCCTCTGGGTCTGTGTCCTGGAGGGGGTGTGTATTAGTGCACACGTGTCAGCCTTGCTTCATGTAGCTCACCTTGGTGGCTCCCCTTAGCTGGACAAGGGACTCTTGCTGCCCTCTGCCCAGCCCCCATCAGGACAAGTTCCAAGGGAGTTCAAAGGGACGGGTCCTTATGCCACCAACCCACTGGCTGACCACCGCAAGTGAGGTCCCCTCCTCACTGTCTCCTCCCCAGGTCCACAGGGACTGGCCCCGAGCCTGAGCCCACGCGGCTTCAGTGCCTCCTCCCCAGGTCCACAGGGACTGGCCCTGAGCCTGGGCCCACGCGGCTTCAGTGTCTCCTCCCCAGGTCCACAGGGACTGGCCCCGAGCCTGGGCCCACACGGTTTCAGTGCCTCCTGAGTGCGGCTTGCTCACCTGGGGCTGCAGTTGGTGCTGGGCCCGCTGGACGGATGCTCATGGCCGAGCCCCTGGTGACAAGGGGGTGAGCCACCGCACAGCCAGGCAGGGGCTCTGCCCCTCCTCCGGGGGCTGCACTTCCTTCTCTTGGGCCCATTTGTTAAGTAGCACTGGTGAGCCTGGGGGATTGACCCCAGGCACTCCTCAAATCCCAGGCCACAGAGCTCCTGGTGGACAGCAGCGTCCCCTGGGAAAACACATTCCCGTTGGGCAGGGAGGGAGGTCTGACCAGCAGAGCCTGGAAGCCCAGGAGGAGGAGGCTTATGGGGGGCCAGGGGTAGGGGGAGGCTGGGATGAGGTGTGCCCAGCCAGGGGCCCACTGCAGATCCTGGTGCTGGTCCTGAACTCAGGTGACAGCCGGAGACCCTGCCAGGTGGGGACCAGATCGGAGCCATCTCTCTGCATCTGCACGGACCCAACAAGTGGGAGCTGGGGAGGAGGGGTGAGCCGGGCTGCCCTCAACTCCTCAGACCCCACTTAGCTCACCCCCATGGGCATCCCTGGCTCTCTGGCCTCTCAGAGTCTCAGCACTGAGTGCCTGGCCTGGGTGGGCAGTGGCAAGCCGACCGATGCCAGCCCTGCCTTCCAGTAGCTCGAGGTCCGGCCAGCATGCTCCATGCCATCAAAGGAAGTCAGAGCAGGACAGCCCTCCAGGTTAGGAAGAAGCAAGGCAGCCTTCAAGCAGGAGGTGGTGTTTCAGTTTGGCTTAAAAGCCTGGAAGGGTTGAGGAGGAGAAAGGGCACTACAGGCGGCTCAGAGTGGCTGACGGTGCAGAGGGATATCTCTGAGACTGCCCAGGCTGGGTCTTGAGGAGCCTTGGGCCCTCCAAACTCTGCTCTCCCACCTGACCCCATGAAGGGCCACACCACTACTTTACAGAGGAAGAAACAGGCTGGGAGAGGGCACCACACTGGCCCAACACCTGCAGGTGGACAAGGCCCGGGCACCTTCCCTGGCCCTGAGGAGCCTCCCACTCAGGGTTGGTGGCTGCAGCCAGGGCCGGTAAGCTCAGCCCAAAGTTCAGTTTCATGATCTGTGAAGTGAGGGTGACTGAAGGGTGCCCAGGATCCGAAGGACCCCACGGGAGGCCCCAGAAGCCACCCAGAGGATGGGCCCTTCATTTTGGGGGCTCAGAGTCAAGCAGAATCCCTGGGGCTCGGGGAGAGGTGTGAGCAGGTGACAGTGCAGCCGGCGGTGCAGGTGGGACGGCGTGAGCGGGTGACAGTGCAGTCGGTGGTGCAGGTGGGATGGTGTGAATGGGTGACAGTGCAGCCGGCGGTGCAGGTGGGACGGTGTGAGCGGGTGACAGTGCAGCCGGCGGTGCGGGTGGGACGGTGTGAGCAGGCGACAGCGCAGCCGGCAGTGCAGGTGGGATGGGGAAGGAGAATGCATGGGCAGCTGCCAGGAGCCAGGAGGAAGAGAGGCCTCAAGCAGCCTCCGCACTCACACATGTACACGCAACCAGCCTGGCACCCTCTCGCTGCCCACGCTTGGGGCAGCAGAGCCTACCGAAGCTGGGGGGAGGCCCAGTGGCCCGGTGCATGTGGCAGCCCAGCATGGGCACCCTGCCCTGCCCTCCATGCCCAGCCAGGGCAGGAGGGACCTACCTCAAGAGGTATCCAGGCCCTGTCTGCTAGAGTTCCTCCTCAGAAGCCCGGGACTGCCCAGGCTGCAGCCTCTGCTCAGGCGGCGACCTGGCCTGACCCCAGCCCCGGGGATAGAGCAGCATCTCAAAGGCTCCTGTCCTGCTGGCCCTCCTCTCTGCTGCCCTCCTCCCGCACCCCTGCCCCCCTGTGCCCAGCTCTCCTTGGCTTTCCTGCCTCTCCTGGCCCCTCTCACTCCTGCACTTCCTTGGCGCTCTGCCCTGGCCCTCGGTCTCTCGCTGGCTGTCACCCCTCCCCTGTCCCTTCTCTCTGTCTGGTGTTCTCCTTGTCCCTGTGACCCTCTGCCTGCCTGTCTTGGCCCCTCTGGCCCCTGGCACAGGAGTCTGTGGGCCGGCTCCCTTGGGCAGCCTGGTCCCTCCCTCTGGCACCTGGCACAGGGGTCTGTGGGCAGCCTGGTCCCTCCCTTCGGCTCCTGGCACGAGGGTCTGCAGGCCGGCTCCCTGCAGGCAGCCTGGTCCCTGTGTCCCCATCCCTGTGGGTCTCCCTGACTGTGGGTCTCCCTTTCCCCTCTCCTACTTCAGGACTCTCAGCAGCTGCTTCTCTTTTGTTTCCCCCAGCCCCCTTCTCCTCCCGCCTCCATCTCTTCCACCTCCACCTCCTCCTCCTTCCGAGAAGAGTAAAAATGTCAGAGCGAAAACTCTCCCAGCCCAGCAGCGTGGGGCTCAGCCAGACCTCTGTGGCGCGCTGATGGGCAGCGTGGCTGCCTCCTTCCCTCCCTCCCTCCCTTCCTCTTTCCCTTCCTCCCTCCGCCTCTGCCCTCAGGCCACCTTGGTAGCCGCTGCCCGCTTCTCGGTCTCCCCTAGCCCTCTGTGGTGCCCCTGCCCCAGGCACAGGGGCCTATTCTGCCCATCGCCGCCTCCCACCTCGGAGTGCCTCATGCCCTCTGCCAGGCCCTGCCCGGGCCCTCCTCTGTTCTTCTCCTTCGTCGGCCGTTCTTGTCCAGCCCCTCGTCAACCTGCCACCTCCCTCACCATCATCGCAGGCCTGGACCCTTCGCTGGTTCCTCTTTGTCCCGTCCCCTCCTTCCCCGTCTCGCACTCAGCCCCTCTCTCCTCTCTCCTTTCCCTCTGGTGTCTCTGTCCCTATCTCTGTCTCCCTCCCTCCTTCCCTCCTCCCTCCCTTCCCCTCCCCTCCCTTCCTCTCCCCTCCTCCCCTCTCCCCCGCTCCTGGTTCTCCACTTTCCCTTTGTTCATTCCCGGCCTCTGCTCTTGTTGTCACCTCCAGAGAAGGCTTGGCACCCCAAGAACCCTCTCTGTTCCCCAAATGGGGAGGCTGCTGCCTTTCCTGGTGGGCCCAACCCCCCAGCCAGACTGCAGAGTTGACCCAAGAGGCAGAGACGCCACCAACGCAGCATCTTCGGTTTGGTATTGGCACAGCATGGTCCCAAGAGGTGGCCAGTGGGCACAAAGTGGGCCTGGTGCCCTCGCCAGCCAGGCCCCCCTTGCCCGCGTCCTCTGGCCCTGGCCCAGGGAGGAGCAGCCCAGCCCTCTGTTCCTCTGGTTGGGCTTGGCTGCTGTGACTCACTGGAGAACACTCGGGGCTAGTGGCCGGACGGACGAGGGGTGGGATGGGACGCATGTTCAGGGCTCACCGAGGGTCAGCTCCGCGACGGCAGTCTCACATCCGGCGGTTTGCCCAGCTCGCTGGCACTCAGAACCACCATGTACCCATGTCCAGGATGGAGAAACCAAGGTCCAGCCAGCAGCACTGGCATCCAAGGTCACAGAGTGAGGGCCTGGCACAGCCAGAACCAGAGCCAGATCTGCCGGCCGCTGGCCACCCAATTAGTCCTGGGCCACCATCTGTGCACGGGCACTCATCTGCCCATGCCACCCTCTGTCCCTACATTCAAGGAGAACAGCCACCTCTTGCCTCCCCAGCTATCATGACCCTGGCCAGGCCAGGGAGTTGGGGTTGCGCAGCACCTTGGGAACACTGAGGGAAGCAAGGGTGAGGCTGTGAGCAGACGGGCAAGCGGGTGAATCACCGCGGAGGGCAGCACGCCGGGGGTGGCGGCAACAGTCGGAAAATTCCACATGGGACCATAGACCGGGCTGTGGTGACTCAGGTGGTGGGCTACCCCATGGAGACTGCGGGAGTCAGGAAGTCCGTCCCCACTCCCTACATACACACCAGACTGGGTCCCAGGGCCAGTCCTGGAGAGAGGAGCCCACAGCATCTCCCCTCCCCCGGCACAACCCAGGAGGAAGCAGGGAATGTCCACTAGAGACCATGGTGTTGGCCCCACATCCCCAGCATCCACAAAGCTGCAGAGACCACAGGATTCTGGAGTAAGCAGGAGGGATGGTAGCCAGGGCTGGACCTCAGGTTGGACAAATGTTTAGTGAGCTCACCCAGGGGAGGGGAGGTCACCCAGAGGAGGCAAGATTACCTGGGGGAGGTGAGATCACCCAGGGGAGGTGAGATCACCCAGGGGAGGCGAGATTACCTAGGGGAGGTAAGGTCACCCAGGGGAGGTGAGGTCACCCAGGGGAGGTGAGATCACCCAGGGAAAGCTAAATCACTCAGGGGAGGTGAGATTACCAGGGGTAGGGAAGATCACACAGAGAAACTGAGATCACTCAGGGAGGACAGATCACCCAGGTAAGGTGAGATTACCTGGGGTGGGGGGCAGTGAGCATGTGCTTCATTTGCACCTCAACCTGCCTATTTCCTCCTTGCCTCCTGTTTTAACTTCTGGAGGAGTCCCAGCCACAGACAGCCAGGAATGAAATGTGGCCAAGGCATATTTTAGTTCAAAAGAAGGAAGAATATTCCCACAGGGAAAAGAGCTACCTTGGAATGGCAGGACTTCCCTGTCACTAGAGAATGATCATCTGTCAGAAATGCTGATGGATGGGAAGTGACAAGAACAGATATTTACATGTAGCGGCCAAGATTCATGGTTTTACAACTAGAGCATGTCCTGTGAGGGACAATATGGGAGAGTATTTGATGTCAACTCCACTGTTATGTGTGCGCTCATCCATTCACCCACTCATCCATCCATCTACTCATCCATCCATCTCTCTGTCCATCTCTCCATTCATCCATCAGTTCATCCATCCATTTTACCCATCCACCCACCCATCTATTCATCCATCCATTTATCCACTCATCCATGCATCCGTCCATCCACCCATCCACTCATCCATCCATTCATCCATCCATTCATCCATCCATCCATCCACTCATCCATCCATCCACCCATCCATTCACCCATCCATCTATTCATCCATCCATCTATCCATCCACCCATCCATCCACTCATCAATCCATCCATCCATCCATCCATCCATCCGTTCACCCATCCATCTATTCATCCATCTATCCATCCACCCATCCATCCATCCACTCATCAATCCATCCATCCATCCATCCATTCACCCATCCATCTATTCATCCATCCATCTATCCATCCACCCATCCATCCATCCACCCATCCACTCATCCACTCATCCACCAATCCATCCATCCATCCATCCATCCATCCATCCATCCATCCATCCACCCACCCATCCACCCATCCACCCATCTATCCATCCATCCATCCATTCACTTATCCATCTATTCACCTATCCATCCATCCATTTACCCATCCATTCATCCATCCATCCAACCATTCATCTATTTATCTATCCATTATCCATCTATCCATCCATTCATCCATGCATCTATCCATCCACCCATCCATCCATCCACCCATCTATCCATCCATCCATTCATTCATCCATCTGTCTATCCATCTGTCTCTCCATCCTTCCATATATTTATTCAATAAATCTGTACTGAATTCAGACACTTTGAAGGTGCTGGGGATTCAGCATTAACAAAGTCCCTGCTCTTATGATGATCATGTTTCAAGTGTGGGAACAAACACATAAATAAATAAAGGTCAGATGATGGAAAATATGACAGAAAATATAAATCAGGGTAAAGGCATATGGAGTTCTGGAGGGGATTGATATTTTACGTATGATAGCCTCATGGAAATAAGTAATTCTTTCCTTGGGTCTTTATATATGAAAGCCTCATGGAAAGAAGTAATTCTTTTCTTATTTGAAAAGAGATGAGAGAAATGGGAGGAAGTGTTCCTGGAAGAGAGTGCAAAATTCCTGATTTAGTAGTGTCTACTCACACATCCGTCTTTCTAATAGTTTACTCAGCACGGATTCAATTGTCTATTGATTCATTATCTATCTATCTTTCTACTCATCTCTTGTTATATCCACCCACGTATCCATCTATTCATCTATTATCCATATCCATCCATATGTCTACTTCTCCTGACATCCTTCTATTAATCTTTCCAATCATTTATATGTCCATATTCCAGCCATCCAATCATCCACCCATACATAATTCCATCTCATGTGTCCTTCCATCAATACATTCATTTACCCATTTATACACCCATTCATCCATCATCCATTCATCCATAAATCCACTCATCTTTTGTTTTGGTACATTTGCTCATTTAGCTGTTGGGCTGATGATCAGCCAATATGCACAGGTACAACACAGTTCAATATAGGAATATATATAATCAGCACCCATTCCAGTAGATTCATATTTGTACCACATGCTTTGTTAAATATTCTAAATATCACATCTGCATTTATCTATCCACCCATCCATTCGTTCTTTCATCCAAACATCCATATATACATACAGATGTTCTTCTGTCCATCCATCTATTTTTTGTTCATCTGCTCATTTGTTCATCCATTCATCAATTACTAAATAATTCTTTCTATTTATGCATGAGTTATACTCTATTTATACATGAGTCCATCCAACCCATTCATTCATCCACCCCATCCATCTGCCCATCCATTCACCCACCTGTCCATCGATCCATGCACCTATCCATCCACTCATCCCTCCATCCATCCACCCATCCATCCATCATTCAATTATCCATCCATCCATCATTCAATTATCCATCCATCCATCCATCCATTTGTTCCTACTTCCTATCATTCTTCATTCATCTTTCCATTCATTCATACTGTTCTCCATAATTGATTCTTTTCTAATCTTTATTTTTCCTTTCTTATGCAACTAAGACATGGTTCATAAGCTCATGGCCCAAGGATAAAGCAGACCACCATGGCCCAGGAGGCTGAACACCTCAATAGAGCCTAAGCAGGGGCTACAGGGGCAGGGATCTGTCTTCATATTGACACATTCTCATCATCCCCGACACATACCTGCGAATGTATGTTCACAGAGCAGCATCCCAGTGAAAGGTGCTTTGAGCACTGAGAGAGCCCATGGGGACAGGGGAGGTCAGGGTGGTGGCCTCATTGGCTCCCGAGTGATCCCTGGTGGATAAATGTCTGTGATTTAAAGAGGAGGCAGCCTCCAAATGCTTGCAGCATGCATCTGTTCAGTGTGGCCCTCTGTTCAAGCAGGCACTGCTGACAGCAGGAGAATGGGCCAGAGCCACGGGTAGGGGGCAGGGTGGTGGGTCATGGGTGCTGGGGGCTGGGGGCTGGGGGCTGGGGGCTGGAGGCTGGGTGGTGAATGGTGGGTGCTGGGTGGTGGTGATGAAGCTCAGATTTTGGTTGGGACTGGGTCTAAGAGAAAGGCTAAAGGATTATTTCTAGATTCATCTGGAACGAATTGGCTAGATCCTTCTATCCCAAGTCCCATTGCTTTTCTGAGGGGAGGTACCTGGGACAGGAGGAGGAGGCAGCCTTGCCTCAGAAACCAAACTGTCAAAAGTGTAGGTTCCACTCAGGAAGGAGGAGCACAGGCACTTTTGAGATGAGGGGGACGTGCTCTTCTCTGGAGCAGAAAGAAGCAGTAGGTGAGGTCCCACCTGCCAGGGATGGAGCAGGAGAGTGACCCCTGCATAACCTTGAATCCTCATCTGCAGCCCATGAGCAGCTGGAGACTGGGGACTCTGGGAAGGGTACTGGGCTTAGAAGCCACCCCCTGCCCCAGTGGACAGAGTATCCTGGACACCTCAGCCACTCTCCCTGAGCGTGTGGTGTGTGTAGAGGCCCCTGCGTCTATACCACTGCTCCCAGGGAAACTGGGAACCCAGGAAGTATGCTGGAACCCTTCATGCTGTGACCTACAAATGCCCCACCAGAGCGGCCCTGCTCCAAGCACTGAGGTCAGGGGCCCATGTGCCTGCCTCCTCCTGCCGGGGGATACAGGGGACTCAGAGGCCCTCCCTGCCACAAACTCCCTTCCCCGACAACCCACAAGCAGCTTGGAGGCAGTTAGCAGATGGAGTTAGGATAGGACTTGCCTGGCCCCAAGAAAGGGCCAGGGGCTTTCCTCCTGCCACCCCTGCTCAGCATCTCCCTCCTCCCTTGTCTGCCTGTGTCTGGCACTGGTGGGGCCGTGCTGGGTGGGACACGGCTAGGAGGCCTGGCTTTCTCAATCCCCTAATCTCCTATCAACCCCACCCCCATGCAGCCCCTCCAACCTCTTTTCAGGTCCCTAGATGTTGGGGAGGGGATGGGGGCTGGGCCGGCTGTAGAGAGTCTAACCCTGGGGAAGGGGCCCTGCTGGGCTGCCCCCTGGCCGAGCCTCTCCAGCCCGCTCGCTTCCCTCTCTTCTAAGTATCAATACAGCCTCGTCCACAGCCAGGGCCTGGTTCTGTCTGCCTCAGCGCATGTGGAAAGCCCTCTTCGATTGCCTTATGGTCCTGGGCTGCCATCTCCCAGAAGGTCTTTAGTGGCCCCCAAAAAGATGCTGAGGGCTGGGATTTGGGCGGGGCTGGGCTGGAGGGAAGTGGAGGACCTTGCTGGTCCTGCAGCGCCCGGTCCCAGTTCCGCTTTTCGGGACGGTCCCTTTAAGTGCTTGCTGAGCTTGGGCCATGAGCAGTGCTCTGGTGCTCTTGGGAGCCTTTGAGTCCAGAGTGGCTGGTGTGTGGTGTGGGGTCAGAGAGACCCCGGGAAGGGCAGCCCAGCCCAGCTCCCTCCTGGTGCCCGCAGGTCTTGTGGGCCCTCAGCACCCGAACCCCACAGGGGCAAGGACTCAGGCCCCTCCCCAGGCAGGGAGCAGCCCTTGGACAATGCACTTGGCCCCTGTGAGCCTCGGTTTCCGTCTGTGAAATGGGAGGCTCCAGGGACCTGCCTCACAGCTCCGGGGGATGAAACAAGAGCCTTGGTTTAAAAAGCTTGGCAAAGGCAGGGCGCGGTGGTTCATGCTTGTAATCCCAGGACTTTGGGAGGCTGGGGCGGGTGGATCACCTGAGGTCAGGAGTTCAAGACCAGCCTGGCCAACATGGTGAAAGCCTCTTCTCTACTAAAAATACAAAAATTAGCCGGGGGCAGTGGCAGGTGCCTGTAATCCCAGCTACTCAGGAGGCTGAGGTGGGAGAATCTCTTGAACCTGGAGGGCGGAGGTTCCAGTGAGCCGAGATTGTGTCACTGCACTACAGTCTGGGCAACAGAGCGAGACTCTGTCTCAAATAAATAAATAAATAGCTTGGCAAAGACTGGCATGGAGTGAACGCTTGGTCTGAGTGGCTACATTCTGAGTGTGCAGATGGGGAAACTGAGGCTTCAGAGGGGTGCGGCTTACTCATCCAGAAAGCACTCCGAGGGCCTATAGCAGCCGAAGCAAGGCCAGCCCTGGGGCCTTGCAGCCCATCCCCCTCCCGCCGCCCCAGCAGTGGGATCTCAGGGGCTGGGACTGCAAGGCAGAGCTCACGCCCCCACCCCTCACCAGGCTGAGGACTCAGAGCGGGAGACCACTGGGCCCTTTCCACTGCCAACACCCTCCTCTTCTCTAGGGCTCACCCATCCCTCTGGCACGTTCTCAGGGAACTGAGGTGGAGACAGGCTGGCCCGTAGGGTAGCGGAGCAGAGGCCCACCATCCTGCCACCCCAGGGTGTCACCGGCCAGGGCCTGTCCCAGCTGGACCCCAGACCCTCCTGGCACTGCCCTTGTGTGGCTCCAGGATTGTTTTAGGAGACACGAGGGAACCAGGAAGGGGGCGCAGGAAGAAAGGATTCTGGCTTCCAGAATCAGCGGGGGTGGGGCCTGTGATGCTCCCACTTGTGCGACCAGCCCAGCTGGGTGTCGGTGGACAGCAGCGCCTGCCAGCCCACGAGGAAGAAGACATCCTTCTGCTTCCCTGGGAAACTTCCAGATGCCTCAGACCCCTTACCCAGGGCAGGAGGAAGGGGACCTCCCCAGGGATCCTGGGTCCAGACATCAGGTCTTGACCACAGGAAGGTGTAGGGAGGGAGCCCCAGGGCTTAGCCCTCAATCCTAACCTCCCTCAGCAGCCCCTGTGGGGCTAGGGCTGGGGCTGAGGTGGCTTCCCCAACTGTCCCCAGCTCTGCCCTCTTTCCTGAGCAGTCGTGGGCACCGCTGGGGGCTCTCAGGGCCACCTGCCCCAGCGTGGAGCATTGCACATCCTCCAGGTGGTGCCTGGCCTTGGCTCGGAGGGCAGGTGGGCGGGAGGGCTGCCCAAGGGCCTGGCTGCCTGGGGGGTTCCATCCCATGGGCTCCTGCTGCTCAGATGAAGACTTCCAGGGGGCTGCCGGGGGCCTCCAGCCCCTTCCTCCTTCAGAATCTGGAGCTCTGAGGGTCTCCAGGGACAGATGGCCAGAAGGAACCCTGCCAGAGCAGCCCCTCAGGTCATCCCTGCCCTTCCCAACTCAGCTCAGCACACAGAGAAGCGAGGGAGGCTCCGATGGGCCAGGCGGGGCTCCAGGACTGGCCCTGTCCATGGCAGGTGCTGCCAGAGCCCTGGGCAGCGGCCTCCCACCGCGGGCTGGGCAGGCCTTTGAAGGTCTGCAGAGGAGCAGGGCGGTTGGGTGATGCTAGGAGGGGCATGTGCCAGGGCTCTGACACCTTCCAAAACTGGGAAGAGCTGGGAAAGCTGGTGGGATGGGAAGTGAGTTCAACCAGGCCAGGAGGGCCTGGCATGGCCACCCAGGGGCATGGAGTTTGCCTGTAGCTGGTGAATGGTTCTTTCCGTGGGAGACACGGCCTGGTCGCTCATGGGGAACAGACTGGGGGTAGGGTCATCCTGATGGGGGCCTGGGCTACACAGGGGCAGACTGAGAGGGCAGCCAGGGTGTCTGTGGGACAGGGTGGCGGCAGGCAGACTTGCCTTCTAGGTGTGGACATGGGGTGGGCACGCCTGGGCGGGTGGGCACCCCCGGGCAGCTGGGCCAAGGACAGGCACTGCAGCCAAAAATGCAGTGTGACCCCAGGGAGGGTACACCCCTGCAGAGCTGGGCTCCAACATCTGGATATGTCGAACCCAAGGTCTGAGAGGGCAACCTGACCCTCCCCAGCTGTGGACCAGGACGCCCCGTCCTCATCGCCTCAAGGCCTCCAAGGCCAGATAGTTCCTCAGTGTGGGGAGAGCCTTGCTCTTGGGGGCTATAGAGGGCAGGCATCCCCCAGCGTCACCAGAGAGTCCCCCCAGAGCCACAAGGCAGCTCTGTGAAATCCTCGTCCCTGCCCCCAAGGGACAAGGACAAGCTAGTGACTGTCTGCTGGACAGCGGGGCGAGACAGGAGTGCCCCCGAGTGGAGGAACCGCAGTCCAGCCTGGCTGGTAGCCGAAGCGGAGCCTGGACCCCGCCCAGGGTCAGGGGACCTTCTTTGGCCTGAGGCCTCGTGGGAGAGGACAGTCCTGTCCTGGGGGCATCTGAGAGACCACATCATGGAGGGGTGGTTCTGAGGAATCTGGCCCCGTCCCGGGCAGTCTGAGGGGAGGGGCCACATCATGCGACAGTCTGAGGGGCTGGACCCACTTGTCCAGCTGGAGGGGCTTGGCCTGCCCTGGACCTAGTGTTGAGGGCATGTCCTGAGACCGTCACAGGCTGGCGTACCTGGCACTCTGTGACATGCACGGGGGGCTGTCTTGTCCACTGCTCCAGCCCCAGCTGAGCCTGCCCAGCCTGGGCCTTCCTGGGGACTCCCGTGTGGGGGCTTCCCAGGCCATACATCCCTGCCTGGGTGCAGGGGACTTCTGTCCCATCCTAGACAGGAAACTCCCCGGTTCCCTTAGTCACCTTGTGAAATGAGAAGCCTACCCCACTGGGGCTCTCAGTTTCATTCTGAAAGGTCAGGCTTGGCTGCGCACCCCATGCAATTCGCGGGGGCAGGGGATGTCCAAGGAGGGGGTCCAGGCTTTGCAGAGCCCAGGAGAACCGCCGCTCTCCAGCTGGAGCGCCTGACAGCCCCGGCACAGGTGCAGCCCTGGCCTCCCAGGATCTGCACCAAGATGCCCCAGGATCATCTGTGCCTTGGCCATGCCCGCTCCAACCCCCCCTCCCCGCTCCTGGCCCGGGGGATCCAGGGCATTTGAGACAGCTGGGAGGGGGTGGCCAAGGATGAGGCCAAGGAGGAAGGCGGGGGTGCCCCAGCCCAGAGGCTCATGTCCTGCCCTTCTATGGGCATGAGGTGACCAGGAGCAGCACCTAGTCCAGGGCTGGGGGTGGTGCTGACAGGAGGGCCCGTTTTGCAGCTGGGACACAGCTGTTGTGCACCCAGAAGCCTGTCTCCCTGCACACGGCCTGGGCAGGGCATCCTCCCACCTCTCCCTGGGGACAGGCACGGACGTCCCGACCCAGCCCTCAGCCAGCCCCGGCCTCTGCTTAGCCTCCACTCCACTCACGGCACTCGGGGTCCCTTCAGTGGCCCCCCGCACCTGTACCCAAGTGGGATTTGGCAGCAAGAAGTCAGAGATGCAGACCCCTCACACATACCAGACCCACAGCAATGTGACGGCCACCAAGGACACAGACACAGGACAGTGACTGCAGCCACCAACAGCACAGGAGCTTTGTGTGAAGGCCGGGAGGTGGTCCCTGCACCGCCCCGGGTCGGGTAGACCGGGACCCTCTGCTGTCAGCACCAAGGCAGAGACTGGTAGCAGCCCTGGCTGCAGTTTTGGGGTATGTGAGCGTCACCCTGGGCCTCCTCTCAGGTCCGTCCTGTGTGGCTGCGGGCATCACACTCTTTCTGCAACCTGGGCCCCAGCGCCTTCCCTTCCGCACACCAGGCCACAGCCCCCGCTGACCTGCTCCTAGGCCGGCCTCTATCCCCAGCACCGGATCCCCATCCCCTGACCATTAGCACGTCGCCCCTCTGCCCCTCAAAGCCCTACCTGTCCCTGCACCGCACGCCCTGAGCCCTCCCATCTCTTCTGGGACCTGCACCGGGGGCAACTCGGGTTCCCCTGGCGAGGCTCAGCTGTGATGCCTGGATGCCTGCTGGCCGGCAGCTCCCCTCTGCCAGGGAGCCCAGTTACTAAGCCGCTAGCCCTCTCCACCCACCCCAGCACAGGGCTGGATGCCCATTGGTACCACAGAGTACAGCTGCCCGCTAGGAGGCCTTTGGCAGCGGGGTTTTTCTGCCCAGCTCTGGCAGTCCTACACACAACCTCTGCCATGCCCCCTCATGTCCCCACTCCAACCAACACACGGTGCCTGGCACCCAGCACAGGCACCTGCCAGAATCCTTGGCCTTGTCCTTTACCGCAGGTCAAGGGCAGCTTTGGGTGCCCTGCCCTGAGGCCTGCTGGGCCCCAAGCCTGGCGGCCTCCAGACCCTCAAGGCAGGATAGCCCCTCTCAGATAGTCCTGTGGGCAGGTGGCCAGGCCCGGGCCAGTTCCACCCATCCCAGAACAGCTGCTCCCCAGCCCCCACCTTGCCTCTTCCCAAGCTAACAGGGCCCACAGTCCCCAGCTCCTCCCTGGCAGTCCAGGACACGTCTTGGGGTCTCCTCGCTTCAGGCATCCACCATGGGCTTAGGATCCCACGCGCCTCCCCCAGTGAGTCCAGGGCACAGAGGCAGGCGGAAGAGACCTCCACCCTTGTTGTGAGAGGGGGGTCCCAGCAAGACTTCCTGCCACCTGTCTGTGGGTCCCCAGTTTCCCCATCGGACATCCAAGTTCTCCCATTGGGGGCCCCAGATTCCCCATCAGGCACCTCAGTTCTCCACCCTCCATGCAGCTCAAGGACTATGCACCCGTGGACACGGCACAGGGCGCCGGGCGTCGCCGCAGACCCTTACCCCAGCAACTCTTCCCGCTCCTCGGCACCCGGGTCACTCGAAGCCTCCGCCATCAGCCTGTAGTCTGGGCCCCACAGGGTGCTGGCAGATCCCTGGAGTGGGTGTACGTGCTGTGGCTTTCAGTGCTTTCTGGGGCGGCTTCTGAGCCCCCACCCCCAGCCGAGTTTCACTTCCCCCTTCCGGCTGCAGGTTGAGGTTTGGAACCTGTCTCGGCTTGGGTCAGGGTGTTGTTTTTTAATCTGTTGCTACAAGAGGAGAGGAAGAAAAAAAAAAAAACCCAAACCACCCCTCAGGAAGCGTTAAGCAAGTTACAGGGGCCTGGGGTGACAGAGACGGGGTGCGAGGGCCAAGATGGCCGCAGGCAGCTCTTCATGGCTCGGGGAGGGGGACCCATGTTACCCCTGGTCCCCGCTAGTAGCTCTGGCCATCAGGTCCACCTGTGAGTGGCCAGTTCTCCTGCAGCATCAGGGACAAACACGTCTGTGATCCCATAAGCACCACGTGAGCGTTTTAGCTTCTTTGGGTGAAATCTACCCAGAGGCCGGCTCTCCTACAGGTGCTCATGGAACTTGGTGGAGTCTTTTCTCGAAGCCTGGGGTCATAGCCTTGAGCACATCAAACAGCTGTGGGTCCCAGGTGGCTTTGGGGGCTGTGCCCGGGATGCCCCTGCGTTCTACCCGTCGGGTGCCTTGTTCTGTCTTGGACTGCCTTGCTGATGCCGAGCTGTCGGGCATCCGCCTCGTCCCCCCGCTGCCCCTTGCTCTCCGTGCTCTGGTCGCTGGAGTTGACCACCGAGTGGTTCGTGTCCCCAGGCTCTAAAGGCAGTGCCTCAGGGACCCTCCCAAGAGGCATAGGCCAGCCCGAGGGGAGGGATGGAGGCTGTTTCCAGCCCTCACTGTCCCCAGCTTCTGGGAGTGACCACGCAGTGGCTCCAGGGTCAGGAGGAGGGATGCATGACTGCAGGAGCCAGACCCCAAAAGCTGAGGCAGGGGAGGACTTAAGCTGGGCCAGAGTAGGGCAGCCACAGAGGTGGCGAAGGCTTCCCTGCTGGAAACCTCAGCGCAGGAGAATGGGAGAAGGGAGCCCTGGCCAGCGGCTGGGCCTGAGAAATCCAACCAGCAAGGACTTACAGGGGGTCCCAAGGCAAAGAGGGGCTGGAGAGAGGCCAGGGGTTGGGAGGGCCCTGGGCCCAGAGTGTTGACCCATCAGGGTGGGGCCGAACCGGAGGCCGCCTCCTTGGGACTCAGCGAGCCCCCCACCCACCAAACACACCACAAAGACCAGCAGAGGCTTTCAGAGCCCCACGAGTGGAGGCACCAGAGGGATCCGTGGCCCAGACGATGGGCAGGGCTAAAACCAGATCAGGCCCAGCGCCATGGAGATGAACAGGCCATGCCTGTGTCTTCCCCACGCCTCCTCCCTGGGGGTCCCTAAGGGCCCCCAAGTCCCCCTTGCAGAGTGGCACATGGCAGAGCCCTGCGGTTCTCACCATGCGGCCTCCATCCTGAGGCCATCCTGAAACGGCTCCCCTCATGGTGGTAGGGTCTCGCCTCCAGGTTGCAGCCATTCCGCTCACCCACCCGTCCAGGCACTGCATCGGCAGGTGCAATGCCTGTGTCCTCCTGCCCTTGAGGTCCTTCCCTTGGCCTGCAGAAGGGCAGCCCCAGCATCGTCGCTGGGAGCTTCAGGAACCTTGCCAGGAAGAGGACAGGCAGGTGGAGGCTGGGGTCCACCCCCTCCTGCCCTCTACTGCCCGAAGGCTGGACCGGCTGCCTCACTTTTGGAGCTAGAGCAAAATGAGAATGCAGAACCCTGTGGTTCAAAAACTGAGAATTTTGGCCGGGTGCGGTGGCTCACACCTGTAATCCCAGCACTTTGGGAGCCCGAGGCAGGTGGATCACTTGAGGTCAGGAGTTTGACACCAGCCTGGCCAACATGGTGAAACCCCATCTCTACTAAAAATATAAAAATCAGCCAGGCGTGGTGGCGGGCGGCTGTAAGCCCAGCTACTCGGGAAGCTGAGGTAGGAGAATCGCTTGAACTTGGGAGGCGGAGTTTGCGGTGAGCCAAGATCGTGCCACTGCACTTCAGCCTGGGCGACAGAGCTAGACTCCATCTCAAACAAAACAAAACAAAAACAAAAAAACCCTAAGAATTTCAAGAGGGAGACACAGAGCACAAAACCACACTCAGCCCCAGGTCTACGAAGCCGCTCGGGCGGAGGGGGAGGCCCACAGGCCCTGGAGCTGAAGGCTGGGGTGACGATCGGCCTGCCCCAAGGGCTTGGAGAGTGTGCCCTCCTCCCCTCTGCCTACCCAACCCTGTTGAAGCTGAATCATGCCCCTCACCCACATTCATATGGTGAAGTTCTAACCCTACCCCTAGCCTAACCCCTCAGAGCGTGACCGTGTTTGGAAGCGGAGTTGCTTCAGGTGTCATTAGCTGGATGAGGTCACGGTGGAGGAGGGTGACCGCTCAGCCAGTGTGACTGGTTTCCTTACAAAAAGAGGAAATGTGAGCCAGGCACGGTGGCTCACGCCTGCAATCCCAGCATTTTGGGAGGCCGAGGCGGGCAGATCACGAGCTCAGGAGATCAAGACCATCCTGGCTAACACGGTGGAACCCCATCTCTACTAAAAATACAAAAAAAAAAAAAATTAGCCGGGCATGGTGGCATGTGCCTATAGTCTCAGCTACTTGGGAGGCTGAGGAAGGAGAATGGCGTGAACCCGGGAGGCGGATATTGCAGTGAGCTGAGATCATGCCACTGCACTCCAGCCTGGGTGACAGAGTGAGACTCTGTCTCAAAAAAAAAAAAAAAAAAAAAGAGGAAATGTGGACACGGGACACAGACACCCACGGTGGGGAGCTCCCCATGAGAAGACAGTGGAGATGAGGGTGAGGCATCCACAAGACAGTTGCACCAAGGGGCACCGGGACCCCCAGCAGTGGGAGAGGCCTCAGGAGAACCAGTCCTGCCCACCCCAGGATCTCGGACTTCCAGAATGTGGGAGCTCAACGTCACGGCAGCCACAGGGCAGCAGGACAACCCCTCCAGCGACACGTCTCACAAGCAGGCCACGGCGTGGGGGAGCCCTGCCTGTTCTCAAGGAACCCAGGCCGAGGAATAGGCACACTCCAGGATGCTCACGGGGCTCTGGGAGGCCTTCTCAGCAGATGTACGCCCTCACCTCCCGAATCGCAGAGGAAAGGGAAGCCAGGGTGCAGGGTGTCCTCCTGTGGCCGTCCAGCCCTCTCTCCTGCCCACATCACCGTCGTGGAGAAGGCAGACTCTTGCTCTCTCACTCAGCTACTCCTCCGCAGACGCCAGGGCCATCTTGCGGCCCATCCACCTTCCTCCCGGTCCCCCAGCCTCTCCTCCCTACACCCTCCACGTTGATGTGCAAATCACTCAACCTTTTCACAAAAAAACAAAAGCAAAGAGCATCCCGGAGGCTGCCCAGCCCATGTGGCCGCCCGCTTCTCACTCCTTCCCTCCCTGGCCAAGCCCCTGCCTCCAGCCCTTCTCTCCACTCAGCCTGGACTGGCAGGCGTGGGCAAGGGAGGAGGTGTCCCCAGTGAGGGCCCAGCCACCCCTCAGGCCGTCCGGGCATTTCTGTGTGTGTGTGTGTGTGTGTGTGTGCGCACGAGCGTGTGTGACAGGGTCTTGCTCTGTCACCCAGGCTGGAGTGCAGTGGTGCAACCAGGGCTTACTGCAGCCTCTACCTCCTCGGCTCAAGTGATCCTCCCGCCTCAGCCTCCCAAATAACTGGGATCACAGGTACATACCACCACGCCCAGCTAATTAAAAAATTTTTTGTGTGTACAGATGGGGTCTCACCATGTTTCCCAGGCTGGTCTTGAACTCCTGGGCTCAAACCATCCTCCTGTCTCAGCCTCCCATAGTGCTGGGAGTACAAGCATGAACCACTGCACCCGGGCAGTGCATGCGTGTTTGAGAACGGTGTGGGCCTTGCTGGGTGGGAGGTTAAACAGGAACAGAGCCTTCCTCTGAAGAGCTAAGAGTCTACCCAAGAATCAGATGCAGAATCATTTCTTCCCTCAGTGCCTGAAACTCTAAGGGAGGTGTGTGGAGGGCAGACCCCGGCCCCTCCGTTGTCCTGTCTCCAAATCTGGTGCAGGGTCCAGCGAGCAGCACGGGGACCAGCAAGCGGCTGCATCAGGTGATGAGTTAGTTTGGATTCTGGGATGGAGCCAGCTGAGGGCATCAGATTCCGGGGGATGGAGCCAAGCAGGGAAGCCTTGAGGGGTGAGCCAGGAGGAGCTCTGTGCCAGGCGGGCAGGACACAGGGACACTCCAGGTGCAGAGGCCACAAGGCAGATGTCTGAGAGGTGCAGACCTGGATTTGAGGGGAGAAGCCGGGGGTTGGGACCTGTGTAGCAGGCTGGAGGTGCGTGTAGAAGTCCCAGCCGAGCAGGGAGAGGCCTGGGCAGGAGATGCTGTGTGCTGGCACCATGGGCTGGAAAGGACGTCCCGCAGTACAGGCCATCCCGCAGCGCCCCTCCCTGGCAAATCACTCTGTGGGCACACGCAGGTGCTGGAGGGGTTTGCTGTGGGGAGCAAAGCTGGGGGCTGTGCCCTCTCCCTGCACGCGAGCTGGGGTCACTCGGCCCCTTTCCTTCCACTGGCCGTGGCCACTGGTGAGCTTGGGAATCTGGCCCAGGAGTGAAGAGAGTGAGGAAGAGAAGCTCTCAACGGGGACAGAGACAGACAGGAAAGGGGCAGGGAAGGCTTCGAGGGGGCCGGGTGGATCGGAGGGATGCCAGGAGAGGGCAGTGACCAGACAGCTGCCCCTAGCAGAGCGGACAGGCCAGGCGGGGTGGGGAGGCAGTACTGGGGGAGCCCAGGGTTCAGGGCCAGCTGAGAGTGGAAGAAGCTCTCCAGCAGGCGCAAAGAGACATGGGCCAGGTCAGAGAAGATGGGCGTCGGTCGGCACAAAAGGCCTTGGGTCGGAGAGCTTGGCTATTTATTTTGTTTGCTTTTAGTTTTTACTTTATTTTTTTTTTTTAATTTGTAGAGATAGGGTTTTGCTATGTTGCCCAGGCTGGTCTCAAACTCCTGGCCTCAAGTGATCCGCCCACCTTGGTCTTCCCAAATCCTGAGATTACAGGCGTGAGTCATCAGCCTGGCCTTCTTCTTCTTTTTTTCTTTCTTTAAATTCTCAAAGCTTTTATTTTTTGAGATGGAGTCTTGCTCTGCTGCCCAGGATGGAGTGCAGAGGCGTGATCTGGGCTGACTGCAACCTCTGCCTCCCGGGCTCAAGCAGTCCTCTTGCCTCAGCCTAGCTCTACCTCCCTAGCTGGGACCACAGACATACACCACCACACCCGGTTAATTTTCATATTGTTTTGTAGAGACACTTTGTTGCCCAGGCTGGTCCCGAACTCCTGAGCTCGAGGCTCCCCACGCAGCCTCCCAAAGTGCTGGGATTAAAGGTGTGAGCCACCACACCTGGCCTTCATTTTTTTTTGTCTCTCTCCCTTTGAAAATCTTTAGAGCTTGGTGTTGTCTCCACTATTTGGCGGCGTCAGAGTGACCGGGGCCTTCACTCATGAGAAGCTCAACCTGCAGCGACAGCAGGGCCGGCTGGGACCTGCAGGCGGGGAGCTGATCTGAGAGCCGTGAAGGGCCTCGCTGTGGACATGTGCTCCGGGGGGCACGGGACGCTTCGTGAGAGGGCGGTGACAATTGCTGGGTTCTGCCCCGATGGCCTCTGGTTTGAGGTGGGGGGCCCAGGTGATTTGGGGTGTGAGTGAGAGATTTTGGGGAGCTTGGTGGGGGGGGCGGAGGGGAGGATCAGAAGGAGGAAGCTCGTGGAAACCGTGCCTGGCCCAATGCCGCGCTGATTCTCGGCGGCCTGCCGGAGGGGCAGCCGCAGAGACTGGAGCCTGCCAGGACGCAGGCCTTCCCGATGGCTCGAGGAGGGGACAGGGAGTCAGGAGCAGCTTGGCAAGGAGGGGGAGCAATGGGAGATGACAGGGGGTGGTGAGGAGGTAGGGGTGACTGGGGCCAGGGGAGGGAGAGGCCCTGGGGCCAGGCTGTGCTTGTCGAGGCGGCGGAGGTGCTTGCAGGAGGGCAGGAGCAACAAGGGGATCGGGGGGTTTCCAGCGTGGTCACGGCCAGCCCCGCACAACGGGGAACACTGGCTGCCAGAGGACTCCAGTGTACATGGTGGCCCCAGCGTCTTGTAGGGACTGTTAGACAATCCTCATGCAGACCCGTGTCCCCGTCCTGAGGTCCCGTCACAGGTGTATGCCTCGCCCCAGCAGCACTGACACAGCTGCAAATAACTCCAGGTCCCTGACTTCGTGGATTTTCCCTCCCAGAGGAAGAGACGGACAGTGAACAAATGAAAAAACAAGTCCATGGTCATTCTGGAAAATAACCAGGAGAAGTCACAGAGATGGCTGGGGGACTCACGGAGGGCTTCACGGAGGAGGTGACCATGCTGGAACTGAAGGGTGTGAAGGAGATGGCCACAGGGAGAGTGGGGAGAAGCTTCCAGGCCTGGGGCAGAGGCAGGCTTGGTGGTCCTGGTGTGATATTCAGCAGCTGGGTGGTCCAGGGCGCCGAGCCAGGCCTTGCTGGGGCTGGGGGAGAGTCGGGCTGACTCTGGGGGGCACATAGGAGAGGAGTTTAGGGAGGCAGGAGGTGCCAGCTGGGTCCCTGCCTACCTGGTGGTCCAGTGAGGCAGGCGCTCTCATCTCCATGTTCATTGTACATCTGGGTAAACTAAGGCTGGGCAGCCCACTGGGGTGGAGTGGGGGCTGAGCCACAGAGGCAGCTCTAACCCTGGGCTCCAGGGCTGTCTGGGGAGAGCCGGAGCCGGAGGAGTGGGGGTGGTGAGGCCCTGGCAAGCGCCGGACTCAGCTTTCCAAGGATGGCTGGAGCCAGGCACCGGCCTGCAAAGGTGGGTCTGGGCCCAGGCACAGCCGGTGCCAGGGGAACAAAAAGGACACAGGGCTGCACAGGTCAGGGGTGAGGTGCAGCTGGAGAGAGAGGGTGAAGCCCAGCCCTGATCCGGGGGCCCCTCGGTGGAGGCCCAGGGAACCCCTGAGGACCACACAGGGGGTCCAGCAGGTGGACATTCATGGGGGAACTCTGTGTCCCCCTCTGGGACCCCACTCCTGGCTTCCCCTTGATCGAGTGCGTGAGGGGGTGAAGGTCAGGGGGAAGCCCCCTCTGAGTCCAGCCCTGCGGAGAGAATGAAGCCCCGTGACCTGCCTCATCCTAGCTCCACCCAGCGCCCAGCATGGCCAGGGCACCGGGCCTCCCTCCTGCAGTCCCTGAAAGGCAACTTTCCAGCCTTGGATCCCTGGCCCTAACCCTAACCCTAACCCTAACCAAGGTGTCCCCGGGGGCCTGGCACCCAGCCCCGCCCTCGGCCCTCAGCCAGGGGCACACACACAGTCCTCAGCCTCCTCCACCACCCCGAAGTCCCCCACACCCTCTGGGGCACCTTTCTGCCCACACCTGAGCCCTGTGAGGTCCTCTCTGTTAACTTGTGGTATTTTTCATGTCATCTGTTTTTGTTGTCGCTTACGAATTGTATTGCTTTAACGTTCAAAGAAAAGTTTAGCTTTGGGGGAAGTCATTTCAAACCCACAGAGAAGTTTCAAGAATAAGAATTTGACAAGGTGCCTCTGTACCCCCCTCACCCAGGGCACATGTCCACTTTGCCATTCGACCCCTGCCTCTCCGCCTCTCAGCCTCTCTGTTTCTCTGAGCCTCTGTCTCTTTCTCTCTGCTTCTGTCCGTGTCTCTCTGCCTCTGTGTCTTTGTCTCTCTGCTTCTCTGTCTCTGCCTCTGTCTGTGTCTCTCTGCCTCTGTGCCTTTGTCTCTCTGCTTCTCTGTCTCTGCCTCTGCCTCTCTGCCTCTGTGCCTCTGTGTCTGTCTTTATGTCTCTTGTCTCTCTGTCTCTGTCTCTCTCTCTGCCTCTGTCTCTGTCTCTCTGCCTCTCTGCCTCTGTGTCTCTGTGTCCCTCTGTCTCTTGCCCTCTCTCTGCCTCTTTGTCTCTCTTTGTGTTTCTCTCTATGTGTTTCTGTGTCTCTCCATCTCTCTGTCTTTCTCTGTGTGTCTCTCTGTCTCTGTCTCTGTGTCCCTCTGTCTGTCTCTGTCTCCATGTCTCTCTGTGTCTCTGTCTCTGTGTCTCTGTCTCTGTCTCTCTGTCTCTGTCTCTGTGTCTCTGTCTCTGTGTCTCTCTGTCTCTGTTTGTCTCTGTCTCTGTCTCTCTGCCTCTGTCTCTCTGTCTCTCTGTCTCCCTCCTTTCCTCCTGAAGATTTTAAGGTCTGTTTCCTTGGAATGCAGATGTTGTTTTGTGTAACTATGAACTTGAGCACATTTACCGCGGACACTGCTTGTTATCTTGTCTGCCGGTCTGTGTCCTGATGGCCGCTCCCATCAGCGGGGGCACAGGGCAGGCCCTCTGCGTCACCACGGCCTCCTAGCAGAAAGGACATGTCAGGCTCTTCCTGCACGTTTCCTGCCCCACCCTGCAGTCAACCTCTCTTCCGAGGAGCCCTGGGTCCTTCAGGGGAGGACGGTTTTAGGGAGCAGAGCCTGGGGCCCGGTTTGCTCCTGGACACTGGGGTGTCTGCATGTCAGTGGCTCAGCGGCAGAGCAGGAAACACCCGCGTGTGCAGAAGCACCCACCTCTGCCTCCCCCGAGGAACCCCTGCCTTCTGTCTCCAGCAGCCGCAACTTCCAGGGGTGCCCCGTGCACTTCCTCCCACCCCTCCCTCCTTGGCCCGCTGTGCCCAGTCTTCCCCAACCCCTTCCTGGCCACAGCCCAGCACGGGTTACCTGGGACTTCAGAGGCCATGTCCTCCCCGACCTCCAGAGCCACGCACAGGGCTGCCCACAACCCCTGCCCTGGGCCTGTCCCCCTCCTCTTCCGGGACTCCCCTGGGGCTCATGGTGCCTGCCCCGGCTGCCCTGGCTGTCCCTACCCTCCCCCTCGTCTCCTCTCGCCCTGGCCTTAGGCACCTCTGCCCATCGGCTCACCACCCAGGACACCCACATCCACATCTCCAGCCCAGCCCCTGCTCCAGCTGCCTGGGCCAGGTCTCCCCTCGGAATTTCCACAGGGCCCCCAAACCCAGCAGCCCCAAAGTGAGTGCCTCACCTCCTCCCAAGGCCACTTTCTCACGGCTCCTGCCCTGGAGAACAGTCTCTGCCCACCCGTGCCCCCAGCAAGGTGCCTGCCTTCCTCATGTCCCTCAGCCAACAAGTCCTGGGGACCCGGCCCCTTCCACGTCTCCATTCCTCACCCCCCAACCCAGCGGTGACTTCCGCTGTGCTCCACCCTGCTGAGGCCTTTCTAGAATGCAGAGCTGGGGGACAGCCCCATGGGGTACTGGCTGCAGGCCTCACTTCCAGCAGGGACACCAGAATCACCCGAGAGGGACGGAGCCGGGCTCAGAGGGGCGCCGGTTTGATATTTGCTGGTTTGCTTTCCGCAGGCCTCTCACTTACTCCTTCATTTACTCATTCACTCATCTATTGGAAATTTAACAAACACCCGTGCATCTACTATCCAGCCCAAGAATTAAAACATCCCCCAAACCTGCATCAGCGTAGGGGTCCTGTCTCCATTCTGCCCCTGCTCTGCCCCCACCCCACTCACCCCAGAGGGTCACTCTTTGGAATTTCGTGTTTGTGTTCAACATTTCCTTGCTTTGAAATAAAAAAGATAATTTTCCCACACAGCGTGTCTGCCCCGGCCAAGTTGAATCTTGTGGTTGGCAGCCAGGTGTGATGCGCCTGCCCCAACTCCTCTGCCACACCCCCCTGACGCCCTGTGGGATTGGGTCCCGCCCCCTTTCCCAGTAGGCACAGGCTCTGGAAAGGTGCCATGTCCCCTGCAAGGGGTCCATGGCCAGGCCCCACCGCCGCCTGTCCCTCGCTCTGCCTGTTGCCTGCCTGGCTCTGCATGGGACGTGCTCCAGCCTGCAGCACCCTCTGCCTCCACACTTGTCCTCCCTCAGGTCTCAGCTGAGGCTTGGGCTTGGGCAGCTTCCCCCCGACAGGCCAGGTCTCGGGCCTCACTTCTGTGCCTCATGGCCTCCTACACCCTGGGCCTTGCCTGGTCCCATCATTCTGGCATGGGGTGCCATGCACCTCTGCCACAGCTGCACCCACCAGGCAGTGCCCCCTTGGCCCCAAGCTGCCCTGCTCGGTGCCTTCCCCTACAGAAGGCTAAAGGAGAAGGCCCGGGTGGGGGGTTCGGACTGGCGTGGGGCTCCAGCTACAGAAAAGGTCAGAGCTGAGTGCCAGGGCTGTAGGGTACCCGGGAAGCAGGGGACTGCACACAGCCAAGGCCGTCCCGGGAGCCCACTGACGTCAGTCCCTCAAGGCAGCCCGAGGCGGAACTGCCGCTGCACGTCCACCTCCGGCAGATCAATCGATGGGACCTCCCGGGGGCAAGGGCACAGCGCAGGCTGGCAGCCTCCCCAGCGCAGATCTGAGCACAGGGACCTTGGCGTGCCTGCTCTGTCAGCCTTCAAAGAGCAGGGCTGATAACGTGGCCTTGCTGTCACCGGCCTTGTCAGAACCTGTCAGCTGCCTTGTCCTTGGTGGCCAGATGGGGCTGGGTCTTGGGGCTGAGTGGAAACGAGACTTGGGAGCCACACTGGAGCCAGGTCAGGGCCAGGCCTAGCCCCTGCCTGATGGGCACAGGTCTCTTGGTCCCCTGGCATGGTGAGGAGTGACACAGCCTGCCTTTCAGGGTGGCAGTAAGGACCAGAGACCAGGCTGGCCAACCCCCAGCACCATGCTGGTCCCCAGCCCGGAGACTGCCAATTTGGCCTGGTCATGGCCCACCGTGCAGGCTCGCCCCTCCACGCTCCCCGTGCCCAGCCTCAGTGCTCAGGGCAGGGGGCAGATAGGAAAAGCAGGGAGGCCCCGGGGCTGGGGGTCTGTCCCAAAGTGATGTGGGAGGGGGATGAGCAGGAGGATCTGGGGGTGGGCACGCGTGGACAGCAGCCTGGGGTCTAATGTGGCCCTTGGCTTCCTGCCTCAGATGAGCTCCCTGAGGAGGGGCAGCTTGGGAGGCATAGGGGGCTGCCCCCAGCACTGCGGGGGCCACACGTGTGTCACATGTGTGGATCTCTCTGGAGCCCCGGGAGGGCCTTTGCGTGGCTGTGCAAATGTGAGACCCACTTATCTCAGGAACTCCCACCCAGACCTGGCTCGGTCCCACAGCCTCCATCCCCAGCCCTGCATGTTGGATGTGCCCAGGCCGAGCCCCAGGAACGCCTGGGGCACTATCAGGGCCCTCACCAAACAGCCCCGTGCAGCCTGGGGTGGATTCCCCTGTAGGGGCCTTCCCAGGCTCACCTCCTTGCTGGAAGCAGCTTCCCTCCCAACCTGAAATCCCAGGCCCCGTGTGGCCTCCTCCCAGGCTTTCCCCGCTGGCCACTGACCACACTGCAGGCCACCGATGCGGGGGCCCAGAGCATGGCCCAAGAGGCTGGGGAGAGCCAGACCAGACCAGCCATGGGGATTCAAATCCTTTATTGACGGTGGTGGTGAGGCCAGCCCTCCCTGGCAGGCTCTGGGTGCATCTCCCTAGTATGTTCTGCTGGGAGCCGGGCACCGGGGCAGGCGTAGGGGCAGCGAGTGGCCTAGGACTCGGACTCAAACATCTTCTTCCGGCCCTCCATGCCAGACTTCTCCTCGATGTTCTTCCTCCAGTCACCCACGTCTCGCAGGTCCCGCTCCTGTGGAGGAGAGGGCAGGAGAGAGCTCAGGCTCACCCACTTATGCACGCACCCTGGTCCACACCACCTTCAGCCTCAGTTTACCCTCTGCATTGGGCAGTGGAGTGTCCCCTGCATGGCACCCTGGAGGGGCAGTGGTACAGGGCCCCCGGCAGGGCAGGTGTGGGAGGTGGTCCCCAGGCGGGGCAGGTGTGGGAGGTGCTTCCCCGGCAGGGTAGGTGTGGTGGTGCTCCCCCCGTGGCACGCACCTTCTCTGTGTCCTCCTTCTTGACCTGCTTCAGGTTGGCCCTCAGGTCCATGCACACCTTGTGCTTCGAGCCCAGCAGGGCCTTGAGCATGGCATCGGCCGACATGCGCACCCTCCGCAGTGGGGGCCGCTTGAACTTGCCCCGCAGATCAAATAGCTTCTGGTTCATGTCCTCCAGCTGTGGGCAGGGGAGCCGGGTGGGAGCCCGAGGTCCCGGTGGTCTCGGCCTCCCCGGCCCGCCCCGCCTGCCCGCTGGGCCACCGCCTACCCGCCTGCCGCCGGCCCGCCGCCACCACTCACCTCCTTGCTGGTCTTCTGCACCCTCACCTCCATGTCGTACTTCTCCTCTTCAGCCGCATCGATCTTGGCGTGCAGCTGTTTGCAGAGCTCCTAGGGGTGGGTGTGGGGGCGGGCGGCCGTCCTGACACTTGGCAGCCACGGTCACCTGCCCCTGCCCTGACCACCCCACTGGCCCTCTTGACAAGTGGGGAAACTGAGTTAGCAGGCAGGCCTGCTGCTGGGGAGGCGGGGTGGCCGGGGAGGGGCTGGTACCTGCACTTCAGACATGGAGCCCGGGATATGCAGCGGCGGGCAGTGCTCCGCCAGGTAGTTCTGCTTCTCTGCCTCACGGCGGCTCTCCTCCTTCTCCAGCTCCGTGGCCGCTATCTGCAGCATCACACTCTGCGGTGGGGCAGGCGGTGAGGGGCTGCAGCCAGCTCCCCTGCAGACCCACCTGGGCCACCCCCCCGGGAGCCCACACCTACCTTCAGGTGCTGCCTGCGGGCCGTGATGGCCCTGTTCCGCTTCTGCAGGGCAGGGGACAGGGGGTCGAGTCAGGGCCTCCAGGCCTGGAGCACCCCCACCCCCTTCCACGCTCCCTGGCCAGGTCAGGGGCTCCGGCTCCGGGACCAGCAGAGCCTGGGGGCTCCTGAGGCCATGATGGGCAGGCTGGGCCTCCCTGGCCCCAGACCTTGCACTGGGACATGGTGCTGTGTGGTGTGTGACACTTTGCCAGGTGGCACATGGTGCTGGGAGGCCAGAGGCTGGGGGAGAGGAGGGCCAGTTGGGGGCAGGTCGGCCGGTGAGGTGGGGGCGGGAAGTGCAGGAATCAGAAAGAAGAAGTGATTCCCCTGTGACCAGGCCACAGCCACACTTCCCCTGCCCCAGAAGGCTTGGGGCAGCCACTTCCTCTCTTTCAGCAGCGTCTTGGTGGGTGGGTGGGGCACTTTTGCCAGCGGGGAGGGCCAGGCCATCTTCTCTGGGCCTTAGGGCCTTGAGGCTGTGACCTATGACCTATGCTGAGTTGGGGGAGCCCCCTCCTCGTCATGTTTTGAGCCCCCAGCAACTACTTACCTCCTCACTGTCCAGGGAGGGAGGACGCAGGCAGGACGGGGAGAGAAGACAGAGGTTAGGGCCATGGCTGGCGGGGTCGGAGTGTGTGATGGGGTGGACAGGGCAGGAGGTGGGCAGGGTCACTGTATGGGGGTACAGGGGTACCACTTACTCTCCCATCCTGAGGTCCTGAGCTTGGAGCCTGTGGGGAGAGGAAGACAGAGGTGTTGGCCAGGCCCTTGCCACCGTGATGCCTGTGCCCATCAGGTAGGTGGTGAGGGGTTCAGGGCTCCTGATGACAGCCCCCTCCCGCCCACCCCCTACTCTCACCTCCTCCCCCTACTCTCACCTCCTTCAAGGACAATGTCTTGGAATTCCCCAGGGTGAGAAGTAAGAGGAGAAAGTGTTCCCAAAATGTCCCAGGCATAGCCTGAGGAGCTGCAGCTGTCCCCGAGGGAGGGTGGGATGGGCCAGCGCAGGTGGCCGCCTGAGTGACGCTGTTATTTTTAACCCTCTCTCTTTGGCTTTGGGCCTAAGTGCATGGAAGAAATCCCTCCTCAGTTTGGCCTGGGGGCTCAGGTTCTGGGGCTTCTTGACCCCTAAACTCTCCTTCCAGGGTCCCCAGAGGTGAAGCCTGGTGGTCAGGGAGTGTCTAATACCTGCCTCTCGCTACAGCTGCCTCCCCAAAGCCTCTCCTTCTCACTCCCGGACCCGTGCAGGCCCCAAAGGGGGCTGCTGGTGGCATCCCCCAGGCCCCCAGACCCCCGCCCCAGGAAGTCCTCCCTCAAACCAGCTCGAGCCACGCCCTGTCCCCCGGCCTCGGCGGGCCGGGCTGGGCCTCACCTAGAATCTGGGCAGCAGGGCTGGGAGCGAGGTCAGGCCGGCAGCGGCGAGTTGGGCTGGTGGGCCCAGGGGGAGGGGTATAAATGGCCTCCCCCAGGCTGGGCCCCTGCTCAGAAAGGGCATAGAGTCCTCCTCAGACCAATGGGGGCGTGGAGAGCCACAGAGACCTCCCCACCTGTCCGGCCGCCTGGCCTGGCCGCGTGCTGCCGCCCAGTCCAAGAAGTCTTGGTGGGGGGTGCCGTGGCTGGGCTACTCTATTTAGGGCTCGGTGACGCGCTGGAGATGCCTCTGTCGTTCTCGTAAGGAGCCTGAGGACAGTGTCCCTGGCTTTGCCTGTGGCCTCAGCCGGGCACACAGCTCGGGTCAGCTGAGGGGTAGCTGCGAGTATCCACACCTCGCCTCAGCCCATCTCACCCGAGGTCAGCGTCCAGTCCACCAACCTGGCTGCTTGCTGGCGACAGCCACAGCCTCTCCCTGCGGGGCCAGCTCCCCGGCTCAGCCCCTGCAATGGGTTTCCCACTTCAGCCCAGGCCTGACCCCCTTCTGCAAGCCTGGCTTCTGGGGTGAGGCCTGGACCTCCAGATGTGGCCTTCTGGGCCCTGCCACAGTGGCCGAGGGCTGGGGGCTGCCCCCTCCCTGCGTGATGCTATCTTCCTGCCTGGGGAGCAGGACCAGGAGTGAGGGGCACGCCGCACGTGCCTCTGGGCCCCTCCCGCCTGCCCAGAACGCCCTGCTGCAGTCCCCTTGCCGGGCGACTTGGAACACATCCTTCAACCTAAGGAGAATGGCGCCACCTGCATTGGGAGCCTCTCACACCCGTGGGGGCTTGGGGCCCTCCTGGCTGCCCGGGCAGGCCTGGCATTGCCCTTTTCACCCAGGCCCGAGGCCATCGCCCCCCCAGCCCCCAGGCCCCCGCCCTGCAGAGGTCCCCTGGACCGTGACTTGGCACCCTCTCGGAGTGGGGGCTCTTGGCCCCAGCCCTGCCGGCTTCGCAGCCCCGTGGGGAGGATCAGAGGAGACAGCAGCGTGGAGGCCCCAGCCGCTAAGGCAGCCCAGATGTGTGGGGACTGGGAGGGGCATCCGGCCAGGACTGAGCCCCTAAAGGCCCCAGCGGCTTCCGAAGGCATCTGCTGCCCCCTGCTGCTCATGCAGGGAAGGCCCTGCAGCACAGGTCTCTGAGGTGTTGGGGGTCCTCCCTCCATGCTCACCAGCCCCCAGACACCATTGCCCACTCTGTCCCTACAGGGCTGGCTCTAGCCCGCCCCATCCCATGTGGTCCCGACTCTCTGGCCCCCACCTCCCCGGTCTTCCCAGGCGGCCCGGAGAGGGGAGATCTGTGCTCCCCGGGGAGGTTCCCCACCCCTACCCGAGGGTCAAGCAGGGACCGGTCAGAGGCCTCAGGGCCTGGCTGAGTCTGGAGAGGAGCCCCTCCCCCGTCCTTGTCAGGGGACCCTGGTGAGCGGGCCCGGGCCCTATTTCTGCATCCCCTCCAGGCTCCAGCCGGACACACAGTGGCAGGAGAAGGCGTTTATTGCAGTGGTCCTGCAGGGCGGCCTGGGCAAGTGCCTGGGCTCAGCGGGGAGACAGAGGCATGTGGTGCATTCAGGAGTGGGGCAAGGGCAGGCGCAGGCGAAGGCGGGGCTGCAGGGCCAGCATGCGGTCCACCTCCCTGGCTGGCCGCAGGGGGTGCCGCTGGGCAATGGGCCGCCGGGCGTGGGCCAGCATGTCTGCCCAGTGCTGCAGGGGCTGCCCCGAGGCCCGGGCACCCAGGTGCACCTTGCCTACGGGCTCAGTTCGGAGCGGCAGGCTGCGGTCCCAGACAGCCAGCACCAGGTCCACATTCTGTGCAGAGACAGGCCAGAGGTTGGAGTTGGGGGAGAAAGACCACAGTCATCGTGGTCTGGCACTGGGTCTCGCTCTGCCCCTGCCTCCCGGTGGCCCACCTGGACCTGGCTGAAGGGCACCAGGAAGGTGAAGGCCTCATTGAAGTAGGGGGCCGCCGTGCCCTTTTTGGTGGCTGTCTTTCTCTTCTTCCACTTCCTCTGGTTCAGCATGAGCTGGACCTTCACGTAGGGCTCTGGGAGGGCAAGGTTGCCGAAGGGGCATCCCAGGGCTCGGGGCTGAGCACGGGCCCCCCCTCTGTACAACAACGTGGGCAGGTGTGACCCTCACCTGCAAGTCCTGGACGCAGGCCTCGAGCCTCCAGCACCACCACGGTCAGCCGGCCTGAGCTGGGCACGTACCGGAGAGAGAAGCACAGCTCCCCGACCTGCTCGGGCTGTGGGCAGCAAGAGGGGCTTCAGCCCGGGAGGGTGATTCTGGCCGAGTTGGGGCTCAGACCCCCGAAAATGCTGCCCATCAGGCCTGTCTTTCCGATGGCCCATAGGGCAGGGTCCCTGCCAGCTCTGCCTTGGGCTGTGGCCTGGTGACCAGCACCTCACCTGAGTGGCAGCCGGCGGGCCCAGCAGGTACCAGTGCTCCAGAACATGCTGCAGATCCACGGTGCCCAGTGGCAGACGGAGCTCACCCAGGGGCTCATGCCCCGAGAAGCGCTTGAAGTTGAAAAGCTGCACCTGCAGGGTGGCCCCTGGCAGCTCCGCCTGCGGGATCTGAGGCAGCGGCGTGAGCCAGGCCCTGCTGCCCTAGCTCAGGCCCACCCAGCTGCCCAGGCCCACCCAGCTGCCCAGGCCCACCCAGCCCAGGCCCATCCAGCCGTCCAGGCCCACCCAGCCGACCATCCCTGACTCACGTGGAAGCAGCAGGTCTCGTCAAACACGGGGCAGAGCGTGCCTCGGTGCACTTTTGTCTCATGTCTGTGTCCGGCCTGGGTGGAGACGCTGACCCGGGCATAGGGGTCCACGGTGCCCCCAGGCCTCAGGTCGGCTGCCTGCCTCAGGCCCACCCTGATCTGGGAGCCAGCGGGGTGGGCTCAGCCAAGGGCCCCTGCCCTGTCAGCTCCCCACCACCCAGGGCATGGGGTCTGCCCTTCCCCCGTCACCCTTTCCGGAAACTCGCAGAACCGCTGGTCCTGCGCAGCGGGGCCCTTCACCTCCTGGCTTCCAAAGTCGAACTCCAGGGAGAGCTGCAGGCACCCCCATTGCTGAGCATCCCCCGGGCTGGACTCCAGGCCATCCACATCAGGTTGCACCTGGAGTGAGTTGGGACAAGGGGCAGGTGGTGCTGACATCATGCCTCATCAGAGCCCTGGGCTCCCGGGCAGCCCTTGCATGACATGGGTCAAGACCCCCCGCCTCCAGGCCAGGCCACCCAACAGGCACAAATCGTCGGCTTCGCTCTGTGAGACCGGCCAAACCCACCCAAAACGTGGCATCTGGGGTACCCCCTGCCTTCCTCAAGAACCCGCTGTGGCTCCCTCGGGCCCATGGGGCAGCCCCTGTTGCATGGCCTCCTTCTCACCTCTGTTCACCCACTTTCCCTGCCAGGAAGGTCCTCAACGCCCTGCCTCTGTGGGGGTTAAACCATCCCTGGGGCTGAACTCGCCTCGCTGCCCTGGGCTCTGGAGCCTGGATTTCAAGCCCTCTCTGGACTGAGTGAGCAAGGAGCCGCTCCTCACCAGGTGGGTGGTGGTGGTGCCGCGGGCACTGCCCAGACCCACGGACTCCTTGTCCCTGGGCTTCTTCCTGTGGCGGCGGCAGCAGCAGCAGGCAGCACAGAGGAGGCAGGAGACGAGGAGGACGCCCGCGGCAAGGGCGCCGGCAATGAGAGCCCAGCGGGGCCCTGGGGTAGAGGCCAGGCTGAGTGCATCTGTGGACAGCTGCAGCCCCCACTTGGCTGGGTTATCCCCACACCCCTCTTGGGAATCCCACAACTCACAGGGGGTCCCGGCGACAAGGTCTGGAATAAGCCCAGGTATAGCTGTGGTGCCAGCTGGGGCCGGGGCACTGGGAGAGACTGGTGGGTGCCCCATCTTTCTACCCTGCTGGTTTGGAAGAAGCGGCCCAGGAGGCTGGGTCAGCTGGGAGGGTGGCCCCTCCGGCCCCTGCCCGCTACCCCATCTGACTAGCAGCAGCCAGTGCTGGGTCTGCCAGGGCAAGGAGGCAGCACGGGGTGGCCAGGGGCGAGGGTTCTGTGCAGCAGGAAGCTGAAGGGAGGGAGGCTCTGGACCCTGGCCAAAGCTCCAGCTTAGCTGCCCAGGCCCAGCCTCCCAGCCACCTCCCAGCAGCCCCCAGCCCCAGCCAAGCAGGCAGGGCCTGGGCAGCCTAGTCCCTGCCTTCACCGGACCTCAGAGCACCCTTGCCCCCACTGTAGGATGCGTCCTCCACCAGGAAGCTCTCTCCCTCCCTGCTTCTCTCTCCTGGGCCCTGGACCCTGGGCCCTGCCTGGGGGTCCCATCTCATCCCTGGGGGTCTCATCTCTGCGGTCCCATCACTTCCTTGCCTCTACCCCAGCACGCACCACAGCTGGGGCCCACCATGGTTTGCCAGCCATGCAGGTGGAGCATGTTCACTGCAGCCCCCAGGAACTTGGAAGCCCAGAGGGGTCTGCAGGGTCATGGCGGGAGGAGCAGGGCTGGCTGTCGGCGGAGCTCACTGAGCAGGCCTGGGCTAAAGGTGCATTCCTGGCAGGGGCTCAGGGCCGCAGCGCCTGAGGATGAAGGTGAGGTGGTGGCAGGTAGGGGCAGGGTGCAGCTGGGAGCGGCCAGAACATTCCACACACACTGACTCAGCCGCTGCCTGGACTCGTCCACCTGCCTGCCTGGCCACCCTTCGGCATGTGGGTGGGAAGGAAGGTGGGGCGGGCGCAGCTGCTGGCCCCTGTACCCGCCTGCCTAGGGCCTGGGGAGGGAGCACACCTGGCTGGGCTGGCTCCTGTCACCTACAGGCAGGGGAACCAGGGTGCTACATGGGGCCTACGGTGACCCCAGGCCCAGGGTGACTCCCCAGCTCAGCTCTTCCCTGACTCCACCCGCTCCAGAGAGCAGCAGCCAGCCAGGAGACTCTGTTCCTCCACATTGGCGCCTCCCCTGCTTTGCCCACAAGAGCCTGGGACCCCTCTTGCCATGTCCAAGTCAGCCTGGCCTCAGGGGCCCAGCCCAGGCCATCCCATCGGGAATAAGCAGCTGTTGAGGCCAGATACCCTCACCTCTGCAGCCCCCCAGTCTGGGGCAGAGCAAGGAGACAGACAGAAAGGGACCCTGCCATGACTCCAGACACACACACACACACACACACACACACACACACACACACACACACACGCACGCGCACACAGCATCAATGCCCCACTCCCTGGCAGGCTGGGAGAGGCAGCTGCACTCCCAGAACGGACCCAAACCCCCAGTGTTCAGATGAGGGGGCTGCAGCTCAAGGAGGGGAGGGAGGGTCCAGGTTCCAGCCCCACACGCATGTTGACCCTGTGAGGTCAGCAGGCCAGGTGTTTTACAGACGAGTGGACCGAGGCTGGGAGCTCTAGTTTTGTGGCTCTGGAGGCCAGCATGGCCTGGGAAGCCCAGCCTGTCCCCAGAACACAGGGGCCAGCACAATGGAGGGATTATAGGTACAAAAAGGAGATGCGGAGGTCAGGGCCAGCTTTCCAGGCTGCACCCTGTGCGCAGGGCCCCATGCTCAGAGGGGTCCCTGCTTGGTTTAATGCGTGCTGGGGCCATCTTGAAATTCTTAATTTTGGAACAAGATGCTGCACATTTTCATTCTGCACTGGGCCTCACAAATGACGGAGCTTGTCGAGTTCGGGGGACCCTTTGGGTGAGTCCCCTGCAGATGCAGTGTGGGTGTGCAGTGAAGCTCACGGGCCTCGGCAGCCCCTCAGCTCCTGGGGGACACTCCCAGGTGGGTCCGGCGTCCCACACGTGGCTGGCGGAGCGCTCCTACTGGTGGTGGCTGATGGAATGGGCTGGGTCCGCAGGGTCCCTGGAGCGGGACTGTGCCGGCCAGATTCAAACAGGCCACTGCCTCCTCCCTACGTGGAGTTTCAAGGCAACTTCTCTTTTTGAAATGTCAGAGCCTGTATACATGCTGAGATTAAAGTAGCTTCACTCCAGATTTTTATGGTTGAGATTCCGGATAAGTTGCCAATACAGAATCTCCATCTGTGAGTGCGGGCATGTGTGCGTGTGCGTGTGCGTGCGCCCCTCCCCTGTGCCCCCGCTTTGCTGGCGTCCCCCCTCCTTTAGTCTAAGAACAGTCAGGGCCGGGCGGGGAGAGCTCCCCTGCAGTGATTTGCCGCGGCCGGCCAGCGGCACTCCCGGGCCAGCCTGGTGACCTTGTCCCCAGAGGAGCACAGGGGCCACCCAGAAGCTGCTCCGGAGAACCCCAGGACCCTGGGGGCGCTGGCTGCCGATGCTGGGGGTCCCAAAGCCTGGGGAGGTGCGGGGTCCCTCCGGACCGCCGGGACCCCAGGGAGGTGCAGGTGCAGCGGGCGCATGGCCACCAGGTGGCGCCGTCCGCCCCTCGGGACCCGGCCTCCCTCATGGCTCCCGGGGACAGTGCCCTGGAGACCCTTGGGCGCTGGGGGCTCTCGGGTCTCCCCTCCCAGATCTGGGAATCCCCCGCCCTCCCTGCCTGAGCCTCCCGGGGCTGCTCTCCCCGTTGTCTAGCTTTGGCTGTCTGTCTCCTGTGGCCCTGCTGGGAAAACCTTCTCTGGGAGTTCACGCCATGTTTTCCCAGGAAAGGGAGACGGTCCCTCCTCCCCGGCTCCCCCCTGGCCACCGCTCCAGCGGGCTCCTTAAGGCTCTGGAAACCGGCTCCTCTCTCCCCACGAAGGCGGCTGCTCTGCTCCTGCAGCTGCCAAGCTGCTTAGAAGGCCTCTCCGCATCCCCATCCGACTCACCCTCCAAGGCCAGCGTGAGCCCACCTCTTCCAGGGAACCCTCCCTGGTCACCCCAGGACCCCCAGACCTGCCATGACGTTTTGTGCTGAATTCCACCCCGTTAGGGCCCCCAGCCCCCACCAGGCAGAACGGGGGTGAGCCCCTCCTTTAGACTTCATGTTAGCCCAAGGCGGGCACCATTTCAGGCTTGCTAATGCTTCCCTCCAGGGTGAGTCTATACGGAATGGTTTCTGCTTCCGTGGGAACACCTTTCCGTGAGCCCTTCCTCTGGAAAAGCAACGTTTCCCCGAGTGCTGGGGCTGGCAGCCCCCCAGGTGTAAATGCTCTCACCTGACGCCCACCACTTCCTGTGGCCGGCCAGCCACCAGGCCTTCCTCTCAGACACCCGAAGGCGGGTCCAGCTCTCGGACAGCACTGCCTCTGGTGACGGGGAACTCTCTCCTGGGGTAGGAGGGGGTGCGGGGGCCAGGGCTGCAGGAACCCCACCTTGTGGCCGGAACTGCTGGCCCGTGATAGCTGGGCAACTCCCTTTGGGAGGAAGGTCTCCCCAAGACGCAGAGGCTGAGCATCTGGGCTCCAGCCTATTTCCAAGGGTCCCTTGGGGCTGGGGGCACCCTGAGCCCTACCTAGCTTTGCAGGAGGGGGCGATGGGCCCGTCAGGCTGGCCTTGGTGAGGGGCAGCAGGAGGTGGCCTGGCTGAACCTGGTTTGAGCAGGTTCTGCACGACGGGGAGGGGTCCTGAGGTGCAGGGCTGCCTGGCTTGGAAGAGGGCATCCTCAGGTGCTGTGGGCTGGGGGGAACCAAGTGTGAGGAGGGTAGGGGCCGGGCGGGGGCTGCCCTGGGCAGTGTGGGGCAGGGGGCTCACAGAGAGCCAGGTGGGCCGGCTTGGCTCCGCCACTGCCTCTGCTTCCAGCCCCAGGCACCTTCGGGCCATTCCCCTCTGTGCCTTTGTCTCCTGCTGGGCTGACCCAATCCCTTGAGTTCTTGGTTTCCTAATGAGTGATCCTCTTATCAGCTGGCCCCCGGGTGAGTGGCTGGAAGTCCTCACTCTGGTCTAACCTCAGTGCCTCTTGCTTCAGTTGGACCCCCGAGCAGAGCCTATAGCCTAAGCTCCTCTCCCTCTGCTCTGCCAGTTAGTCTGGTCTGGTCACTCTAGTCAGATCCATGACTTGGGCCTACCGAGGAGCAGCCATCCCAGGTCAGGGCGTTCCCTCAGAGCCCTTATCTGCTGGTGGTTAATGCTTAACGGGAAAACCTGTCCCAGCGGGGCCGGCCCCACGGGGCTGGTCAGGCAGCAAGTGTGGAGGACATAGCCCAGGCTCCGAGGATGCTTTCGGGCCACAGCAGGAGGACGTGTGGGCATGCATGTGCACGTCTGGGCCCGTCCGGTCACACGCGGCCCTGGGCGTGTGGGGACTTGTACGTCCTTCTGGTGTTTGCACAGGGTATGGGTCTGTCTCCTAGTCTGACTCAATCTGGGATGAGAAGGGCCAGAGGCTGCCCTAGTGGGGCTTTTAGGCAAGCAAGGGGACACATGCAGGGGGTGGCTCGACGCTGGCCCCAGGGTACAGCTGAGCTACGTGCCCTGCGCGCGGTTCTCTGCAGCCAGCTGTGTAGGGGCTTTGTACTTTCCCCAGTATATGGGCGCCTTCACAGCCAGACTGGCGTCTGAGGTTCCAGGGCAGGAAGGAGAAAACCAAACAGAGCTGGAGCCCGAGGCCAGTCCCGAGGCCCCGAGACGGTGGCTTGGCAGCCAGCAGCCTCATGGAGACCCTGGTGGGGCTCCTGGATGGGGACGCTTCCTCTGAGGTCGCCTGGGGAATGCTTGAGGTTGGACTGCAAAGCAAGCGCTGGCTCTGGGGAGCCAGGAGTCACTGGCACACAAAGAAAAGTGTGCTGGGTGAGCGCGTGTTTGCCCCACCCACTCTGACCCCAGCTGCTGAGCCCTGCAGGGCTGGGGCACCCTCATCAGCTGGGGCCCGGGATGGCCGGGGATGGGGGAACTCAGCTTGCCACAGTTCTCTGTGCTTTGGGATGCCCTATGCCCATTCTCTGTGTCTTAGCTTGTGTGTGCCACACTCACCTTTCATGCATACTGTCTGTGCCTCTTCATCCCGGGAGGCTGTACCCCATCAACCAGGCATCTGGGGAGGCTGCACCCCATGACCTGAGCCTCTGGGGAGGCTGCACCCCATCACCGAGCCTCTGGGAGGAGGCTGCACCCCATGACCTGAGCCTCTGGGGAGGCTGCACCCCATCACCGAGCCTCTGGGAGGCTGCATCCCATGACCTGAGCCTCCGGGGAGGCTGTACCCCATGACCTGAGCCTCCAGAGAGGCTGCACCCCATCATCGAGCCTCCGTGGAGGCTGCACCCCATCACCGAGCCTCTGGGAGGCTCTGCTCCGTCTTGGGCATGGGGGTCTGCACCCTCTGAACATGGCTGGTGCTGATTCCATGGGCTCAGTTCCTATCCTCTGAGAATCTGCATCTGGATTTTGGTGATGAAAACCCCATGTCTTGAAGTGTCTGGGTGGCCACCCCCGTCACCTGGAAGTCTGGGGGCATGTAACCCACTCCTCAAATGGCTGGTACTGCAGCCACCATGTCAGAGGACGGGGGTTCTCCCGGTCCTCCCCGCATTGACCTCATCTCCCAAGGGCCTTGGGGACCTCATGGCAGGGGCCTGATCCCCCACAACTTTTGTGTGGACCCCATTTACCTTGTTTAGGGGGGTCTGTGTTCATGGGGAACCCTGGCATCAGCATCTTTACACCCCACGCCTGAGAGTGCCTGGGAGACACAGCTTGGGGACCTGAGTGCCTGTGCAGCCCCCTCCCTCATGCCCAGGGCCAGGTGACCTGCCCCTCCTTGGTCTCCTGTTGTCACCAGGGTGCCACGACAGCGTGCCCCCCACCTGTTGAACCCTCTGAATCCCCCATGACACATGGTACTTAAGCCTGGGTGTCAGCCCAGGGCCGGGAGCCTGGTGCCTCATTCCTGTGGTTTTGGACGTCCTGTGCTCCAGGCATCTCACTGCTGGGTGCACCTCCTCTGCCCTCGTGTCTGCCCTGTCTGAGAGCTGCTCATTCCCATGGCTCTGTAATGTGCCTCTGAGGAGCTGAGCTTCCACCTCAATTCACTGACATCTAGACACGTGTACCCCATTATTCTAAATACCTAGAGCCCTGTACTCCATTGGTGTCAGTGTGTGGGTTCCTGTCCCCATCAGCCTGAGCATCTGGGTCTCTGGACCCCATTACTGTCAGTGTGTGGGTTCCTGCACTCATCAGCCTGAGCGTCTGGGTCTCTGGACCCCATTGCTTGGAGGCTTGGGCAAGTTTCTGTCCATCCGCCCTCTTGACAGTTCTGGAGCCGGAACGCTAATCACTCGAATACCTGGATGACAGAGAAACGGGCCCTGATACCCCACTTGTCTGAGTATCTGGGCAGCGTGGATCCCAGGACTCTGAATGTCGTGGTGCCCTATATGTCAGAAGTGAGGTTATCTTACCCTGAGAGCTCCGGCTGTCTCCTTCCACCCGAGGGGCTGGTAACCCTTTCTGCAGCTCTCTCAGCGCAGGTGCAGCGGGTGCTCCTAGCCCACATTTCTGAGTGGTGTGTGTCTGGAATCCTCTGAGAGTGTGGGTGATATTGCACACATCTGCAAAGGTGCCCCCAGTCCCCTGAGGACAGAAAGCATAGCCCTTATTCACCCACGTGTCTGGACACACACCCTCCCTTCTGGTCCCACTGCAGGGGGCCCTCTTATTGTGAAGGTTCAGGTCCTGCAGACCCAGTCACTCAGACAGTTTGGCTCCAGTACCTCCTTACCTGAGTGTCCGGCAGCTGACTGGGTGTCCTACCCCCTCCTCCGACCATCTGAGTAGTGAGGACTTCAACCATCACCCTGACGGGCACTCTGCCCTGGGTTTTCGGGTCTCGGGACGCTCCACCCCAACCCTCTGTGCGACGGCTTACCTCGCCCCCTGCAGCGTCGGGAGCTGTGCACCCACATTCCAAGCCCTCGAGCCCCCCTCTTCTCTAGCTGCTTGAGGGCTTTGATGCCTTGTACCCTGTCCGTCAGGGTCTTCAGCAGCCTAACCCCCACTGCCTGCCTCGAACGCAGATGCATATCCCAGGTCGAGGGCCCCAGTGCCAGTTCCAAGTTCCCCTGTTTCTTTGGACGCCTGCTGCCCTTTCATCAGCGGCTGTCTCGGCCGTGGGAGCTACATTCATCCCTGTCCAGACACCCCTGTGCCCTATTCACGAATTCTCAGCTTCATCACCTAAGCCTCCAGGGGTTTGTGCCCCTTCCTCAGAGGCCTGAAGTCCTCACAATCCCAGAAGCATCTGAGAGACATGAACCCCACTGACCCTAAAATTGGGTGCCTTGTCCCCCCACGACCCTGCACAGCCAGCGACATGCCCTTTGCCTGTGACTGTAGATGCCCATCTGGAATCAGGGTGCCGTCGCTCATACACCCCTCCTGAGCATCTGGACCACGTGTCCCCGTGAGTCTGAGTATTGGGGTGCTCTGCTCCCCATTCATCAGGGGTTCTTAGCAGTGTGTGCCGTCAGCCACCTGTGCCCCGCACCTCACACAGGCCGAGTCCCAGGCTGAGGGCCCCCAGTGCCGGTTCCAGGTCCTGCTGCATCTTTGGACACCATTCACCGGTGTCTCGGCCTGTGTGAGCCCATTCACCCTTGTCTCGGGGCCTGGGTTCATGCGCAGCTCCGGGCAGTCTGCACCCCATCCGCCCACGTCTCAGAGACAGTCTGTGCATTGTCGCCCTGTTCCAAGAACAGCTGCCGTGCAGCCAGCAGGCACATTCCAGGGTTTGGCCAAAAGCCAATGCAAACCCTCATACTGCTGGCACTAGCAGCACCGAGTGGGGGCAGACGCAGGGACTGACCTAGGTGGGGCACGAGGGGAGAATGGGGACCCACAGTTTGGAGCCGTGTGCTCAAAGCCTTCCCTGTACACACAGGGGCCTGGAGAGCAGGGGGTGTCGGGGTGTGGGAGCCCAGTCCCCGACAGAGGCATGTCCTGGACCAGCTGCCAGAGGGACCAGCGAGTGTGCAGGCTGGAGGAATGTTCCAGGGCCCTCCACCGCGTTGCCATTTCCTGCCCAGGCTGCCTTGGCCACCCACCCACTGGCTGCCCGGGCTGGGACACATGGCGGCCTGGCTGTCAGATGTGTCAGCATCGCCTTGGGACAGGGTCCCAAGGCCAGAGAAGTGGGGGACAGAGGCAGGCAGTAGGGGTGTGACACCTCTGGGGGCTGCAGACCCCTGCCCCTGCTCCAAACCTGGCTGGGACGCTGGGTGCTGTGAGGCTGTGGCCCAGGGAGGGAGCCCATTGGAGCCCATTGAAACCCGCGCCCCCACCCACTCTGACTCTTTGCGGGAAGGCCCTTCGCTCAGCCTCCCAAGTTTCCTGGCAGTGCGCTCCCTGGAGGTCAGAAAATGACGTGGTGTGCATGCAATGTCTCCTGTCCTGGGGATTCCTGGGGTCACCCTGGAGCTGCCCCAGCTTTCCAAGCCCTGTGTGAGTGCGAGCTGGGTCCTACCCACCAGGGCCCCCGTGGGAGAGATGAGCGGGCAGGCTATGGGATACGCAGGGGCCGTCTGGGCTCTCTGGGAGGTGGATGGGGGGCTGTTCAGGTTTTCTGGGGAAGAAGAGGAGGCCTAATTCAGGCTCTGTGGTGGGCAGGGTGGTTTGTATCCCTGGATAGGAGGGCAGTGGGTCCCACCCTGTGGGGTCCCCACACTTAGGACCCGGAAGTCGCAGTTGACCCCCAGGTTGGAGAGCCCCGGGGCCCCCACCTGTCCTGGTGCTGCATCCTCCCTGCCCCGCCCCCTTTCTACTTGCTCGGGATTCCAGCCTCGTTCCCACGGCTGCTGGCCCCACACTCTCCAGGCACCCCCAGCTCAGGGGCAGACCAGAGGTTTGGCTTTCGGAGCCCCCCGGGGTTCCTGGTAGGATGAGCCAGGAGCTCCCTTCAAGCAGGTGGGGGACTTGCAGGTGCGACGGGGGCTTTTCCACACCTTGACCAGGCTGGACCAAAGCCCCGCGGCACCGCCTCCACCATGCACGCACCTGCCGTGAGCAAACGCCCTGCGTGCAGGCCCCACTGTGGGCAGACGTCACTGCGTACAGGCATCACTGCATGTAGGCGTCACTGCGTGCAGGCCCCACTGTGGGCAGACGTCACTGCGTGCAGACGTCACTGTGGGCAGGCCCACTGCGTGCAGGCCCCACTGCGTACAGGCATCACTGCGGGCAGGCCCACTGCGTGTAGGTGTCACTGCATGCAGGCATCACTGTGTGCAGACATCACTGCGGGCAGGCCCCACTGTGTGCAGGCATCACTGTGTGCAGACATCACTGCGTGCAGGCCCCACTGTGTGCGGGTGTCACTGCGGGCAGACCTGGGGCAAGGGTTGTGTGACACAGGAGTCCAAGTAAGTGGCTGCTGGGCTCAGAGAATAAGGAAGGAGCCAGGGTCACCCACGGCCCCCAGCCCCACCCTGGCTACAGAGTCCTCCCTGCAGTTCCAGAGGGCCCCTCCAGCCAGAGGGTTTCGGGCCTGGAGCACGTGGCATCCTGAGGGCCGCACTTCTCCCACTGCCCTCGAGCAGGCTTGGTGCATCTGTGATGCGGGTCGGGGCTCCTCGTTGCCCAAGCCCTGACTGGGGCCCCCCACCTGCCTGGCCGGTGGGCTAGGGGTTGAGTCCCAGCTCCCCTGAGTTGGCTCCAGGGTGGCTCAGGATCCAACCCAAGGTGCCCTCAGGGCCTTTCTCAGCCTCCCCCATGGGCATCCCCAAGGGTGGCTGCTGGCCGGGGATGACCGACTGGCCCCAAACAAGGCACCTCTGCCATGGGGGTCCCAGCAGGAAAGCCTGGGCTGCACGGGGCAGAGGTTGCTGGCAGAGCTGGATCATTTGGGCTCCAAGCTCCCCCTGCTGTCTGCTGGCCGCTCCTGGAGGTGGCCTGACCTCCGGCTCCCGCCCGACCCCTGCTCCCTCCCTGCCCTACGGGCCAGACTCCGCCTGCTGCCTCCCAGCCCAGCCTGCCGGCCTGGCAGGCGTTCGGGCGCCCCCTTCCGTACACAGGCCTCTCGCAGGCCTCTCCAGTGCAGGCCTGGACCCTCCTGCTCCCAGGGGCGCCGTCCTGGGACCCCTGACTGTTCAGAGCCTTCCTCCTGGGGTCCCTCTCCACAGGGGCCCTTTTTCTAGATAAAAGTCTCTGTCCTGGGAGCCTGGTCTGCACAGAAGCCTCTGAACTGGGGTCTCTTTGGAACAGCTCTCTGCCCTGGGACCCTCCGTCCCCAAAGGAGCTCAGAGCAGGGCAGTTCGTGACCCCAGGAGATCCAGATCATCCTGGAAGGGGTTTTAGCTTCCTGATCTCAGATGTTCCCCTCGCCCCCAACCCAGAGGGTCACCTTAAGTCCTTGACATTGAGGCATGAGAAGCCACCACTGAAGTCATCTGAGTGGCTGGGAGAGAAGGAGAAAAAGACCCAGCGAAGCCGGAAGGCCACCCAGCATGTCGGGGTCTGTGGAAGTTGGCAACCCAGCAGGACTCATCTTCCCTGGGGTGACATGGGAACACCAGGCCTAGGCCCACACTTCGCGGAACAGGGGTGCACAGACTGCCCATGTCGGGGTCCAGAGGGGCCTGCCTAACACTAGGCATCAGCTTGCAGGCGGAAGAGGACAGGAGACCCTTTCTGGCAGTGTCAGCCCCAGCCCTCACCTGTGAGTGTGGGCGCTTGACCCACACAGCCTCACACACACGCACACGCCAGGCACGGGCACACTGCTACGCACCTGTGCACACAATGCACGTGCACACTCACCCACGCACACACGTACTCGCTCTCTCCACGTCAGCCCCGCAGGTGACTCTGGGATCTCCACTGTCGCCCCGATTCTTGCAGCTGCCTTCTTGGTGGAAACATTCTGCAGCTTGTCTAGACTCTGCACAAACCTGCTTTGGAAGGGCCAGGTCTTAGTTCCCCGGAGGCCACTGGCTCCCTGCACCCTGCACTGCCCTCCTGGCCAAGGCGCACACAGAGAGACGTCAGGTGCCACCCAGCTCTGTGAGCACACGCTGGCAGGTGAGGGCATGGGTGGGTGCCAGGGCTGCCCAGCGCCTGCAGGTCTCACCGCCTCTACCTCTGCTCCTCACCACTGGCCACTTCCTTTGGCTCCCAGTGGGGCACATGGGGTCCACCAGTGGCCAGCACAGTGGCCAGCCAACCAAATCTGGCCTCATCCAGCAGGATGGAGAGGAGGCTGGGCCCACCCTCCTCTGGGCACCCTCCACCCAGCCCCAGCCAGCGGGTACGGCTGTCCTGCCTTTCCCGCCTCTGACAGCCACAGCATGTTCCAGCCACGCTGGATCGCGGGGGCTTCCTGTTCACCTCCATTAAGTCTGGGGTGGCTCTCAGCCTCCAGCCTCTGCCACCTTTTTAGGGCCAGATTCTGAACAGAGGTGAAGACATGCAAGAGCCTGGTGCTGGGCGGGGGAATATGGGGGCCTCCAGAGGCCTGTAGCCCACCTGCCCCCTGGGTATGCTGCCCCTCACTCCAGCCTGCCCTCCCAGGCCTGGCCACCAGCAGCCCCTTGGGCCTCCCTGTCCATGCTCACCCTCTCCAGAACTGGACATGGTCAGGGGCTGGTAGGTAAGGGACTCTGACCTTCGGGAAAGGTCCTCCCCGGGTCAGAGCAGACCCACCCACAGGGTGGCTCGTCTTCCCAGGGATGGCACGGGAACACCAGGCCTAGGCCCATGCTTCGGGGAATAGGGGTGCACAGACTGCCCATGTGGGGGTCCGGAGAGGCCTGCCCAGCGCTAGGCAAGAGCCTAGGCCCACAGTGTTTACCAGGGGAAAAGAGCCCAGTGGGCCTTCAGTGACCTGGGAGTTGTCCTAGGACTGGAGATCAGAGGGCCAGTGTTCTAGGCAGAAGCAATGCAGGCACACAGCAAGGGCGCAGGACCAGCTCGCCAGAATCCAGCCAGGCTATGTTGACCTAGAAGCTGCCCTGCGGTGACCTGGGGACCTGGAACTTCCCAAGCTCCTCTCTCTCCTTGCCTGGAGACCCTGACTGGCTCCCAGCTGCACTTCCAGCCCACTTGGCTGCTTGTTTGCCCAGTGCCCACAGGGCAGGGTTGGGGGATTAGCTCAAAGTAGGCCAGCAAAGGGCTGGTTCTTGCTAAGGCTGCCGGCCGGAAAGGCAGCATCTCCAAATATAGAGAACTCTGGAGGGCTCAGGGCAGGCCCTAGGGTAGAGAGGAGGGTTGGCCTGGGGGTGGTGGCAGTGGAACCTCTCTACTGCTGGCCTCAGTGGCTTCTTCAGGCCCTAGAGTCACCTCATGGTGACAGCTGCTTCTGGCTGGGTTGGCTGATTGTTGGTGGCCCAAAGCCAACCCTCCCCTGGTTACTCTCGGCCACCCCTCCCTGACCTAACTGTGGGCATATCTGGCTGGCGTGAGGTGTGGGGTGTGGGGTGTGGGGCTGAGGAAAGTTCCTTTAACCCATCCAGTCATCCTGGTAAAAGAGCTGTCTGGGTTTGTGTGTCTGCCTGTGTGTGTTCCCCTCTGTGGTTCCAAGAATCCTCCTTGGCTCTTGAGTTTCTGTGGGCCCCTGGTGTACTTCTGGTACTTGTGGGTGTGTCTGAACTTCTGGGTCATCCACAGGCCCCAGCTTCTGTCCTCTCTGTGGGCCCATCTGATCTCCAGGGGCCTGGGTAAGCCTGCATTTCTGTGGGTCCTAGCATGGCACCCAGAGACGCTTGGTGTGGGTCCCTCTGCCTACTAGCTGCAGGATGCTGAGCAAGAAGGAGGGCCCTCCTGAACCTCACATGCCCCCTCTGCAGTACACACATCCAAGGGCTGCCATAAGTTACCACGTAGGAAGCGCGGAGAGCTGTAAGGTGGCTGGGATGTCAGAGGCTATTCCTGCTAGTGTGTGTTCATCTGCCTGTCCATGGGGCTCTGTGTTTGCAGGTATGCTCATATCTGTCATTTCCTTCATCCTCTGTGTGCCCCTATCTATCCTCTCTCTGCATCTATCTATCTAGCTACATGGATAGCCAGGTGGATAGGTAGATAGATTGGTAGCTAGCTAGCTAGCCACTCACTCATTTACCCGCTAATCCACCCACCTATCTACACAACCATCTATCCATTCACACAACCATTCATCCATCCATCCATTCACTCAACCATTCATCCATCCATCCATTCATCCATCTATCCACTCAACCATCCATCCATTCCTCTATCCACTCATCCACCCACTCATCCATCCACATCTATCCACCCAACCATCCATCCATCCATCTATGCATCCTTCCATCCATCCATCCATCCATCCATGCATCCATCCATCCATCCATCCAATCATCAGTCCATCCATCCATCCATCCAATCATCAGTCCATCCATCCATCCATCCATCCAACCATTTATCCATCCACTCATCTACCCACTCATTCATCCATCCACCCATCCATTCATCTACCCACTCATTCACCCATCCATTTATCCACTCAACCATCCTTCCATCTACCTATCTATCCATCCATCTATCCATCCATCCATCCATCCATCCATCCATCCACCCATCCATCCATCCATCCATCCACCTACTCATCTGTCCACTCATCCACCCACCCATTTATCCACCCAAACATCCATTTATCCATTCATCCATCCATCCATCCATCCATCCATCCATCCATCCATCCATCCACACATTCATCTACTCATTCATCTACCCGCTCACTCACCCACTCATCCATTCACCAATCCATCCACCCAACCATTCATCAACCCAAGCATCCATCCATCCATCCATCCATCCACCTACTCCATTTTGCCTTCTCTCCCTCCTTCTTCTCCTCCCTCCCTCCCATGTATGACTTTATGCAGTCATGGAGGTGGTGCTGGACACGCAGGCCCCAAGATTCTCATGGTAATAGTCAGTGGCTGTCATCCTGGCTTGCTGGGTCTGGCGCGATTCGTAAGCTGCCGCATTGTAGGTGTGGCCCCGTTGTTCTCAAGCTCCTATGTACCGAATATCTGTTGCAGCTTGTAGCTGTGCTGAGTGAGTAGGATGGTGCAGGAGCAAACTTTTAAGACCCACTGGGCGGTCCCTGGGTGATTTTAGGCTTCTCAGGAATTAGGCGTTCAGCTGCCAAGGCCAAGGTGGAGGGAAGCTGGGTTGTCCCTTGGGAACTTGAACAGTGGCCCCCAGGGCCACATGGAGGGAAGGAGTCCTAAAAGCTGCTGCTGGCCACACTCTGGCACACAGCATCCCTGACTCACAAATGCCCAGGGGCAATTTCTCCGTAACAAGTCACAACCCATGTTTACCTGGAGTGCTTGGTGGAGAGAAAGCCAGGTACCCACAGCTCTGAGGGGCTCCCCTGGCCCCTGGGCCTTTCCGTTTGAAGCTTGCCTTGTAGTCTGAAGGCAGATTATTCCCAAACCCTCTATTGGGAGAATTTTACACACACACAGAAACATTCCAAGGCTTCCTTAGATTCCATGAGTACCGCCAAACAGCCAGCCAGTGCCTCCCACCCTGCAACACCCTCTCTAGATTCCTTTTATTATAGCAAGCCGCAGTGGGCCTCTGTCTCTCTTCTCATGTTCCCAAAAGATAAGAACGCTTTTTCAAAAATCCATTTTCACAGCTAAACAAATACCAGTAATTCTTAAATATGATCAAACCTGGACAGGGCTCAAATTTCCCCCATTGTCTCATCAATGGATCTTACGGATGGTGTCTTCAAGTCACCCCACATGGAACTCATGTGCCATCTTGCTCCTGCGCCTCTGGAGCCCCCTTTGATCAATTAGTGCCTCTGTCTTTTCATTCTTGCCACTTATTTGTTGAAGAAGCAAGGGCGCTCATCCTAAGGAGTTCCCAACATTCTGGGTTTCACAAGTCGCAACACAGCGTTTCAGGTGTCTTTCCTTACTCTATAGTGCTGAGGCCTGATCAGTGTAAGGTCAAGCCTTTTGGCAAGGCCGCTTCATGGAGGGAGATGGCACTTCCTTTGTGCATGGCGGGAGGCACTGGATGTCCTGGAACTTCCTCCTGGGATATGGGGCTGATCAGTGAGTAGGTTTGGGTGTAGCCAGCTACAGCCATAAGCCACTAAGTGCCCAGTGGCTTTTCTTTTCATGGTTTTAGCAGCTGCTGGTGACATTTCCTAGAACAGGGGTCAGCAAACTACAGTCGCCCCCGGCCAAATCTTATTCCCCATCTGTTTTTGTAAATAAAGTTTTATTGGAACATGGCCCCCACTCATTCACTTATGTACCATCTGTGACTGCTTTCATGGTACCATGGCTGTGGTGATTCCAAGAAGGTCCCCCCAGACTTTGTGCCGTGATTCCCAGAATTGTGAATAATTCTCACCCTTGTGAGTGTGTTATGTTGTCTGGCAAAAGGCATTTTGCGGATAAAGTTTAGGCTGCTGATGAGTTGACTTTAAAATAGAGAGAGGATCACGGTGGGCCTGGTTGAATCCCATGAGCCCTGTAAAAGCAGAGTTTGGGTTGTTTTTTTTACCCCCCAGCTGGTGGTAGGAGAGAAATTGAGAGGGATTCACAGTGATTCTCCTCGAGGAAGGCTCTCCATGAACCAGGGGAAAGGACTGAGCACGACCTCCTGCAGAGAGTCACCCTGCCTACAGCCAGCAGGAAGATGGGGACCTACAAACACAAGAACCGAATTGTGTCCACACCGTGAATGCCCCGAGAGTGGAGTCTTCCCCAGCACCTCCAGAGAGGAGCCCAGCCTGGCTGGCATCTGCTCTCAGCCAGTGAGGACCTAAGGAAAAAGCCCTACAGGAATGCCCAGAGCTCTGTTCCACAGGATGCACAGGATTTGTTTCACAGCTGGGTTTGTGGTGATTTATTACACAGTGATAAAAAACAGACACAATGACAGAGAGCAAATGGCCTGCAAAGACAGATGTGTTTGCAACTCAGCCCTTGTAGAAAACAACCACAACAACAAGCCCTAAGTTAGGTTTCTCAGTCTTGGCATTGTGGGCATTTGGGGCCAGGCTGTTAGTTTTCTATGGTGTGGAACAAATTGCCACAAACTTAGTGGCTTAGAACAACACATGTTTCTTATCTCACAGTTTTTGTGGGTAGAAGCCTGGGGCACAACTTAGCTGGGTTCTCTACCTCAGGATCCCATGGTGTCAGCTGGGGCTGCATTCTCATCTGAAGGTCCAACTGGGACAGGGCCTGCTTTGCATTCACTTAGCTTGTTGGTAGAATTCAGGTCCTTGTGGTTGTAGCACTGAGGTCCTCACTTCCTGCAGGCCACCCATAGTTCCCAGTCTTGTGGGCCCCTCAAAGGCAGTTCACACATGGCTCTTGCTTCTTCAAGGCCAGCAGGAGACAGAGAGAGTGACTCCAGAATATTATATACTATAATATAATCCCAGGTGTGACATCTACCACCTTTGCCATATTCTGTTGGTTAACACTTTCAAGGAGAGGGGACAACACAGAAGCACAGCCAACAGGAAGCAGAAATCACTGTGGTTCACCTTAGGGTCTTTCTAACCCAGCCAGATAATGTTTGCTGTGGGGCTGTCCTGTGCACTTTAGGATATTTGTCAGCATCCCTGATCCCTACAGCAACTCTCAGTTACAACAATCAAAAATACCTGTAGATATTGCCAGAGGGGCAAAACTGCCCCCAGTTGAGGACCACTGCCCTAGATCCATCATTTCATTAGGGGTTGCAAAATTGCAATTTTCTAAACTTGGTATTTCTTCAGCATTTATTTGCAAGAGTTCTTCTAAAGATACACTTTCCCACATCAAATATTTGGTACAGGGAAGGCAGAGAAAAATATTGATTATTTTAAATATATATTATTGTGAAATCATAAATTGAAGTATATTACTTAAATGTACTGTATTGAATGTGTGCAGTAATTCTCAATGGCTGTGGAACAAATTGCCACAAACATAAAGCTCCCATTTAGTATATGCACTTCTGTATGCCAGATGTCCTGGTATAGCTTAGCCAGATTCCTCACTCAGGGTCTCACTAGCTTGAGATCAAGCTGTCAGCCAGGCTGTGTTCTCATCTGGAGACCCAACTAGGGAGGGAGCAGCTTCCAGGCTCATTTAGGTTTTGGCAGAACTTATTTCCATGAAGTTGCAGAATTCATGGCAGCTTCCTCCTTCAAAGCCAGCAACAGAGAGAGAGGGTCTCTGCCCCTTCGAGTCTCTAACTTCAGAGAAGCCCTAGACTCTCTTACAAAGGGCTTGCCTGTTAAGTCAGGACCACTGAGAAAAATCTCCTTTTGATTAACTCAAAGTCAACTGGTTAGGAACTTAATTATATCTGCAAAGTCTCTTCACTTTTGCTTTAATCTCTCAGTCAAAGAAAAATCACAGATTCTGCCCTGCCTCAGGGCAGGGGATTAAATAAGGCCATTACTCACTGGAGGCCGCATTAGGGTGTGCCTGACACAATGCCCTTCCATTCATTGAACTTATTGTCTTTACTGGTGACCATGTGGTCCCACATTTGGTCAATGGGGATACATTTAAGTTGACTGGTATGTCATCTTGAAATGACCTCAGTAGTCTTTGATTGTTTCTTAGCTTTCTGATGCAATGAGAAGTTCCAGGTTTATCTTATGTCATGGCTATGTCATGGCTCAGCCCAGAACCAGTCATTTCTCCAAGGGTTCACGGTTCTTTTTGAAGGGAGTTTGGTGGGTATTTAGAGGTCCCACTTTGGGTGCCAGGGTGCTCATTGCTACTAGTCTATTTTCATTGTTTCTAAGCTTTTACTGTGGACAGAATTAGGCAAGACCTATTTTTCCAGTTTTTGTATGGTGGTAAAATATGTGTAACAAAATTTACCATCTTCTAAGTGCACAGTTCCGTGGCATTCAGTACATTCGCGCTGCTGTCATCCCACTATCCAGCTCCAGAATGCCTTTTGTCTCGAAAAGCAGCAGCTCTGCTCCCATTAAATCCAACTCCCCCTCCACCTCCCCCAGCCCCTGGCACTCGCCATCCTACTTTCTGTCACTATAAATTTGACTACTCTAGGGACCTCATACAAATAGAATCATACAGTATTTGTCTTTTCTTTTTTCTTTTTTTGACTGGCTTAGGAAATAACTTTTTTTTGTTTTGTTTTTTTAAGATAAAGTCTTGCTCTGTCACCCAGGCTGGAGTGCAGTGGCATGATCCCAGCTCACTACAACCTCCACCTCCTGGGTTCAAGCAATTCTCCTGCCTCAGCCTCCTGAGTAGCTGGGATTACAGGCATGCACCACCATGCCCAACTAATGTTTGTATTTTTAGTAGAGACAGAGTTTCACCATGTTGGCCAGGCTAGTCTTGAACCCCTGACCTCAAGTGATCCACCCGCCTAGGCGTCTCAAAGTGCTGGGATTACAGGAGTGAGCCACTGTGGCCCAGCTGGAAATATATATTTTTAAAGGTAAATATATCATGGAATCATACTGATATTTCTAATTTACCTACAGGATTTTAAGTTTCTTTCTTGACTTCTTGGAGTGCATACGTTTATCTGAACCGTTTTATGACTGTGAACTGTTTTATGTGAACTGTTTTATGACTGAAAAAACTACAGGGCACAGGCAGGTTGCTCAGCATCCTGGTTGCTGTCTCTTTCAGGTGCCCCTTGCCCCTTTTTGCAAGCTTTATTTTTATTTTTTTGAGACAGAGTCTTGCTGTATTGCCCAGGCTGGAGTGCAGTGGTGTGATCTCGGCTCACTGCAACCTCCGCCTCCTGGGTTCAAGTCGTTCTCCTGCCTCAGCCTCCTGAGTAGGTGGGGCTGCAGGCGCCCACCACCTCACCTGGCTAATTTTTGTATTTTTAGTAGAGACGGGATTTCGCCATGTTGCCCAGGCTGGTCTCAAACTCCTAGCCTCATGTGATCTGCCCGCCTCATCCTCCCGAAGTGCTGGGATTACAGGCATGAGCCATGGCGCCCGGTCTCTTTTTGCAAGCTTTGATTGACAGTTCCATCTTTTAAAAGATATTTATTCACACCCCAAAACCTTTCTTAGTAAACGACAGTGTGTTAATCCCCATCTGGTCTGCCCCATGTTGAGTGCCCCAGACACGGGTCTGGGAGACCAGCCACAGCTTTGCCCAGAGCCTCTCACCCACTGTCAGCCACAGAGGCTCCCCAGCGTGGACACCCCTTGGTTTGTCCAACCAGACCCACTCCAACAGGTGGGTCACCTGCGCCATTTGCTCTTACATGGGGTGCCCCATGCATGGCCAACACAGCCACCGTTTGTAGGTTTTGAGGCAGTTTGGGTGGCCCCAGCTGACATCAAGTGGTCCTGGATGACACCTGTGTTCTTAGCCAGCCTAGAGCTCCTGCCTCAGCTGCCTTCATCCCGGGAATGCGTGGCAAGGCAGCTCTGTGGGCTGCTGTCTTCTGGTGCATTCTCCCTGAGTTTATCCAGAAGTTAGTCCCATTCCTGGGCCCACTACAATGTGGGTTAAGCCCTCATGACTCTGAGATCTCCTCATTCCCGAGGAACATGCTAGCACTTCTTGCAGCTCCACATCTCCCCACCTTGTCATCCTGGAGTATTCTCAGAAAGGCCAGAAGTTGTCACCCCTTCTAGGGGACTCACACGTGAGCCCAGCCCCTGTCCGTTTATGGAAGGAGACACCCCTGCTCCCATGGGGCCCTTCTCCTGGGGAAGGGAGGGAAAGAGCTTGGTGTTTGGGCCTGTATCTGGCCTTTCTCCCGGGAAGGCCCTGGACGTGATGCCCAGAGCGCCCAGCCACCCAGCAGGCTCCTGGCCGCCCATGCCCCAGGCCCAGCCTCCTAGGGCCGTAGCCTCCCCAGGGCCTCAGTGCCCCACCACCACCGGGAAATTCCAGTGGAATCATCACAGAGCCCTGGGGATGGTTAAGGCTCTCTGGTTGCAATAACACAAACTGAAGCTGGCGAACTTAAGCCAGGAAGAAAAGAGGGCATTTATTGGAAGGAGGGGCAGCCGTCAGACCAGAAGAAAGAACCAAAGAGCCCATTCAGGCTTCCTGGTCCGGGAGCCCATGAGCAGTCCCTGGAATGACACGGTCTTCCTTCTCGGGGAGCATGGCCACAGCCACCAGTTGATGGACAGGCCCACCAAGCTGCCCCTCCATGGAGGAAGGGTGGTTCCTTGCAGGGGAGGGGACACAGGCAAGGCCCAGGCCCAGAGCCTTCTGCAAGGGGAGGATTTCTTGTTTGTCCTAACACAGTGCCACTCAGGCTCGCCATGCACCATGGCCTGGCCCCGTTCAACATCAGCATCTCTTCCCTGCAGGCTCCTCTTTGGGACACACTGGCGCTGCCGTCGGGGGTCGGGTGCTGCCCAAGGACCTGAGATCCTATTCCATTCCTGACTCCCCCGGAGCTTGCAGCCTCCAGGAGACGGGTCTGATCTCACTTTCAAATCAAAGTCTTTCTGCATGAGGTCTGGTCATAGAGAAGGCGGCCCCTGTGGGCCCCCGGTTTGGGGACACAGAAATCCTTTCACTTCTGCAACCTCCCAAATGCGCTTTGAGCAGTTGTGTTATGGGCTAAATTGTGTCCTCTCAAAATTCACATGTTGCAATCCTAGTTCTCGGTGCCTAACGATGTGATTGTAGCTCGAGATGGGATCTTCTTTTTGTTTTTTTTTGAGACAGAGTCTCACTCTGTCACCCAGGCTGAAGTGCAGTGGCACAATCTCGGCTCACTGCAACCTATGCCTCCCGGGTGGGTTCAAGTGATTATCCTGCCTCAGCCTCCCAAAGTGGCTGAGATTACAGGTGTGTGCCACCACGCCTGGCTAAATTTTTTATATTTTTAATAGAGATGGGGTTTCACCATGTTAGTCAGGCTGTTTGAGATGGAATCTTTAAAGTGGCAATTAAGTTAAAATGAGGTCTCCAGGGAAAGCCCTAATTCAGTGTGGCTGTGTCCCTACAAGAAGGAGAGGTAAGGACAAACACACACCGAGGGACGGCTCTGAGGGCACACAGGGAGAAGGCAGCGTCTGCAAGCCATGGAGAGCGGCCTGGGAAGAAACAGCCCTGCCACAGGTTGATCTCAGACTCCAGCCTCCGGGACTGAGAGACAACAGATTCTCGCTGTTCGAGCTGTGCCACAGTAGTCACCCCTCATTGTGGGTTCAGTTACCGATGGCCAAGTATGGTCTGAAAACATTAAATGGAAAATTCCAGAAAGATGCAATTCATAAGGTTTTTTTTTTTGTTTGTTTGTTTGTTTTTTGTTTTTTGTTTTTGACAATGTCTTTCTCTGTGGCCTGGGCTGGAGTGCAGTGGTGCGGTCTTGGCTCACTGCAACCTCTGCCTCCTGGGTTCAAGCAATTCTCCTGCCTCAGCCTCCTGAGTAGCTAGGATTACAGGCACCCACCACCACGCCTGGCTGATTTTTGTATTTTTAGTAGAGATAGGGTTTCATCATGTTGCCCAGGCTGGTCTCGAACTCCTGACCTCAGGTGATCCACCTGCCTTGGCCTCCCAAAGTGCTGGGGTTACAGGCATGAGCCACCAGGCCCCGCCTTGTAAGTTCCAAATTGTGCAGTGTTCTGAGTAGCACGAGGAGCTCTCGTGCCCTGCGGGCTCCATCCCTTTTGCCTCACAGGAAGAAGGGTGAGCGCAACATAGGCCACATCTCGTAACTTTGTTGCAGTATACTCTTACAATTGTTCTCTTTTACTGTCGGTTATTGTGAATCTCTTACTGTGCCTAATTTATAAATTAAACTTTAACACAGGTGTGTATATAGAGGGTTCAGGGCTGTCTGCCGTCCCCAGTGTCCAGCATCCACTGGGGGGGTCCTGGAACGTGTCCCCCGGGGAAACGGACCCCTTGCTTTGTTATGGCTGGGGGGCTGTCTCACATGAGCCATTGCACGGGGAATATTGTCATGTATCTCTTTAATGTAACTCTGAGTCTTATCTTCAAGAAATTAGATAAACCAAATCTGGCATAAAACTTGAAATTATGAAAAAGAATCAAATGGAAATTCTAGAATTAAAAAATAGAAAAACCTCGGTGGTGGCGGAAACGGACCTGCTAGCAAGTGGGTGCCCCTTGAAAGAGAATTCGTGAACTGGAAGGAAGACAAAAGCATGCGGGAGGCAGAACCGGCAGGCGCGATGGGTGAGGCGGGATGCAGGAGAGCGTCTAGCAGGTGGTGGAGCCTTAGAGAGAGAATGGAACGGAGATGAGAAGTGGACGTGATCACTGCCGAAAGGAGCCCCAGCCATGGTCTAAAGAAGCATGAGAAACTCCAAACCCCATCTCTACTGAACATACAAAAAATCAGCTGGTGTGGTGGCGGGCGCCTGTCATCCCAGCCACACAGAAGGCTGAGGCAGGAGAATGGTGTGAACCTGGGAGGCAGAGCTTACAGTGAGCCAAGATCGCGCCACTGCACTCCAGCCTGGGTGACAGAGCAAGACTCCATCTCAAAAAAAAAAATCTGTGCATTTTATTGTATTTAATCATATCTTAATAAAGTTGATAAAACAAATCTCCATAAGCAGTGGGAAGATAATCTATGGAGCTGGAGAAGATATTTGCCACACTTATCACTGAAAAGGACAGGTGTCCAGAATAAAAAGGGCTCCTGGAAATCAGTGAGGATATGGGGATCATTTGATCAAAAATGGGCAAATGACCTGAACAGGCACTTCACCTGACAGGATGTCCTGTATACAAACTGGAAAAGCCAGAGAAACTGATGGAGACGAGTTGGGGAGGCGTTCATAAACAGTAGCCAGAAGAAAAGGCAAGAGAACGATGTTCACACAATTTAGGATCGTGCCAGATCACCCAACAAAAGATGGCTAATACGCTGAAAGCAGGTCTCTTGGCAAAAACAGGAGTATGAAGAATGTGGACGTACATTTCCAATTGCTCGTGGGAGGCCAGGTGCAGTGGCTCACGCCTGTCATCCCAGCACTTTGAGAGGCCGAGGCGGGTGGATTACTTGAGGTCAGGAGTTCGAGACCAGCCTGGCCCACACAGTGAAACCTGTTTCTACTAAAAATATAAAAAGTAGCCGGGTGTGGTGACGCCTGCCTGTAGTCCCAGCTACTCAGGAGGCTGAGACAGGAGAATGGCTTGAGCTCAGGAGGCAGAGGTTGCAGTGAGCTGAGATTGAGCCACTGCACTCCAGCCTGGATGACAGAGTAAAACTCTGTCACAAAAAAAAAATAAAAAATAAAAAAAAACACAAGAAAACAAAAAAAAACCCAAATTGCTTGTAAGAGACCCCTGCCAGCATAGAAACATTTACCCATCTAATGATTATTCAAGACCTGGGAGGAAATGAAGGTGTTTTATTTGCATACCAAATTCAATTAACTAAATTGAATTGAGTCAAACTAAAGAAACTATTAATGAGTCGATTTCAGGAAGAAATTCTAGCCAGGAAGACTCATCAAGCACAAGAAGAAGGCCGGGCACCGTAGCTCACGCCTCTAATCCCAGCACTTTGGGAGGCTGAGGCTAAAGGATCACTTGAGCCCAGGAGGTTGAGACCAGCCTGGGCAACATACCAAAACCGTGTCTCTACCAAAAAAAAAAAAAATTAGGGGCATGGTGGCACGCATTTGTAGTCCCAGCTACTTGGGGGGCTGAGGTGGGAGGATCGCTTGAGCCCTGGAGTTCAAGGCTGCAGTGAGCCAAGATTGCACCAGTGGGTGACAGAATGAGACCCCATCTCAAAAAAAAAGGCACAAGAAGAAATGATGAGTTAAATAACTGGTTAACATTTATGTACAACTAAAAAAAATTAACTTAGAAATAATAAAACAAGCCATAGGGGTTTAAAAAAAAGTAGAAATAAAATACTCACCTATAATACCTAAGAATAGGAGAGAGAGATTAGAGTTTGAGGTTATAAGGACCTCACATTCCCAGAGAGGAGGAGGAGGAGGAGATTGACTGATTGACAGTAAACTTTTGAAAGAATGAATATTGTGTCTTTAAATGCAGTTTTTATTTTACGGACAGTGAACTTCACTTGTTTGTGCGTGTACAGGTCTGTGAGTTTTGATGAATACATACAGTTACATAACTTCCACTAAAACCAGGATCTAGAGCAATCCTGTCACCACAAAATTGTCCCTGAAGCTTCCTTTTTGTGGTCAACCCTCCCACCCTTCACTCCTGGCAGTCACTGACCCATTTTTGGTCCCTATAGTTTCTGTCATTTCCAGAATGTCACACAATTGGAATCGTGCAGCCTGTAGGTCTGGCCTTTCTCACTCAGCATGACGCATTTGAGAGCCATCCGCGTTGCCACCCGGACAGGCAATTGGTTCCTTTTTTTGCTTAGGAATATTCCGTGCACAGGTCTATCTCAGTACGTTTATCTGTTCGTACATTGAAGGGCTTTGGGGTTGTTTGTAACATCTCATGCTAATGAATAATGCTGTTTTAAACATGTGTGTACAGGTGCTTGTGTGAACATGAGCTTTTGTTTCACTCCAGATACCTTGGAGTTGATGGCAGATCACATCTGAGCACACCTTAGACTCTACAAGAAGCTGCCTGACCGCTTGCCAGCATGGCTGCCCCGTCTCACCTTTCCAGCAGCGACGGGCAAGGTTCTGGCCACTCCACATCCTCCTGGCATGCAGTGCTTCTCGTTTTTAAATTTTTATTTATTTATTTATTTATTTTGAGACAGGGTCTGGCTCTGTCACCCAGGCTGGTGTGCAGTGGCGCGATCTCACTCACTGCAGCGTCCACCTCCCAGGTTCAAACTGTCTTCCCACCTCAGCCTCCCGAGCAGCTGGGACTACAGGCGTGTGCCACCACACCCAGCTGATTTCTGTATTTTTGACAGAAATGGGGTTTACCATGTTGGCCAGGCTGGCCTCAAACTCCTGGCCTCAAGTGATCCTCCTGCCTCAGCCTCCCAAAGTGCTGGGATTACAAGCATGAGCCACCGCACCTGGCCTGTTATTTTCTTTTAACTTACTATTCTAATAAATATGTAGTGGTAACTCGTTGTGGATTTATTTTGAATTTTCTTAATACTGAAACCAACCCAACTGTCCCATAGAGGTGATGTCGATGGTTTCTTTTGAATAAACATAGAAATTGATCCTCCCAGTCTTAAAACTTGAGAGAGTTACATTTGTCTTATCTCTGAGTTCCCTTCTCCGGAAACCAGCCATCATGTCTCCCAGATAGTGTCAAGGAGCTGAAACTCACCAGATCTCTGCATTTGGAAAATGAGATGCTGGACCCCTCACCCGTTATGACTGCCTAACCCACCACCTGCTTACTGCTGACCAACTCTTTCTTAGGCCTCTCTATTTCCTGTTTCCCACAAGTGGTTTACATTTCTCCTCTGCCATATAAGCCCCTGATTTTAGCTGGTTGGGGAGATGGATTTGACACTGATTTCCCATCACCTCAGCTGCAGCACCCAATTAAAGCCTTCTTCCCTGGCAGTACTTGTCTCAGCGATTGGCTTTCTGTGCAATGCATGGCAGGACCTGGACTGAAGCCCTGGATTTTCAGTAACATACTCACGATGCTGAGCATTTTTTCATGTGCTCCGTTGACAGCCCCGTGTCTCTAGTAAAGCTCAAATCTTTTACCCTTTGCTTTATTGGGTTTTGGGGGTTTTTTATTGTTATGTTTTGAGAATTC